>NC_000010.11:5767575-5919090 GCF_000001405.40 Homo sapiens
TGGCCTCCCATGATTTCATTTCTTATATGGGGGAAAAAAAATCATTATACAGATAGCTCTTACCTGTCCCATAAAGCCTGATTACCCTTTTTAAGCTGAATTTTAGATAAATAAAAAGATTTGGGGCTTCTAGTTGAAAGGAAAATGGGAACATCGAAGGGTTACAAACAACTGGCTAAGACAAATAAGTTAGGACTTGCAATTTTAGAGCCATGTCCTGATCACAGAAATGAAAGGTGGACACTGCTAGAATCAAATGTAGGTACTAGGATTACAAATAAGGACACAGAAGCAGCTATGTCATTAGCTCAAGAATATACTCGGGTCAGTTAACTATTAAGCATAAACCTCCACAGGAACCTACTGTTAGTTAGAGCTGGGAGACGCAGGGTTCACCAAGCCCAGTCTGTTCATTCTACAGGTGATGGACACAAGTCCAAGGCTGGCTCCGAGTTGAATCTGTCCGCGTTGACACAATGCTGCCGGAGCAGGAGGAGGTACAAAGATTTTTTTCCCCCATATGTAAACCAAGGTCTGTTCACTAATACAGCATACAAAATTAGGAATTTGGGATAAAACACAAAGCAAATTATATCTTACAAAATTCTACCAACATCTGCTGGTCTTCAAACCTCACCTGACTTTCGATTGACTTGGTTCTGTGGAATAATGATCTGGCAGGAGTTGGCATCATTGGTGTTCTTGATGGGGTGGCTGAGGATGCAAATAACTCTGATCACCTGGCCCACTTTTTCTACCCGATCTTTTACGTAGCTGGGGTCACAGATGAGCTGCTTACAGCGAGCAATCTATAACAAAGCATTTAAGAAGACACTGAAGCGGACAAGGATATAGGGAAACACATCCCATGTTCATAGTTTGGAAGACTTAGTATTGTTAAGATATCAAAAACCATCCTCAAGTTCATATTGGTTCCCAAGGGATTGAATTCTGGAACAACCAAAACAATCTTAAAAGAAGAACAGCAAAGCTGGAGGACTCACTCACTAAAAAGCTACAGTGATCAATTCAGTGTGGTACTGGCATAATGACAAACGTATGGACCAATGAAACGAGGAGAGAGCCAGAAATAAACCCTCGCATCCACAGTACAGTGATTTTTGACAAAGTTGCAAAGACCATTCAATGAGGGGAAAAAAAGTCATTTCAACAAACCGTCCTGGGAAAACTATCCACATGCAAAAGAATGAAGTTGGACCCTACCTGACACCATCCACAAAAACTAAAAATGGAACAAAGACCTAAATGTGGTATCTAAAACTATAAAACTCTTAGGAGAAAACAGTGCAAAAGCTTCATGACATTGGAGTTGGCAGTAATTCCTTGTATCTAAAACCAAAGACACAGGCAACAAAGGAAAGAATTCATGAAAACAGGATTTCATGAAAATTTTAAAAATCTTGTGCATAGCCAGGCATGGTGGCATGTGCCTGTAACCCCAGCTACTTGGGAGGCTGAGGCAGGAGAATTGCTTGAGCCCAAGACTTTGAGTCCAGCTTGGGCAACACACAGCAAGACACTGTCTCTTTTAAAAAAACAATAAAGAAATTTTTGCATCAGAAGACACTAATCAAGAGTTGAGGCAACTCACAGAATGAGAGAAAATATCTGCAAATAAGGGATTAATATCCACAATACATCAAGAACTCCTAAAACAACAACAAAAAAAACCCTGATTCAAAAATGATCAAAGGGCTGGGCGCGGTGGCTCACGTCTGTAATCCCAGCACTTCGGGAGGCCAAGACAGGCGGATCACCAGAGGTCAGGAGTTGGAGACCAGCCTGACCAACATGGAGATACCTCGTCTCTACTAAAAATACAAAATTAGCTGGGCACGGTGGCGCATGCCTGTAGTCCCAGCTACTCGGGAGGCTGAGGCAGGAGAATCGCTTGAATCTGGGAGATGGAGGTTATGGTAAGCCGAGATCACGCCATTGCACTCCAGGCTGGGCAATGAGCAAAACTCCGTCTCAAAAGAAAAAAAAAAAAAAAATCGAAGGACTTGAATAGACATTTTTCCAAAGAAGATATGTAAGTGGCCAATAAGCACATGCAAAGATGTTCAACATCACTAATCATAACTTCAGTGAGCTACTACCTCACAACCGTTAAGATTGCTACTATCAAAACAAAATTAAGTGTCAAGGATATGGAGAAACTGGAACTTCTTGTCCACTACTGACAGGAATGTAAAATGGTCCAGCCACTATGGAAAATGGTATGGCAGTTTCTCAAACATTAAAAACAGAATTACCATATGATCTAGCAATTCCACTTCTGGGTACACACCCAAAAGAACTAAACGCATGGTCTTGATGAGACATTTGTACACCCATTTTCAGAGTAGCATTATTCACAATACATTCACAAAAACATGGAAGCAATCCAGGTATCGATGAATGGATAAGCAAACTATGGTCTATCTTTCCATACATTGGAATATTATTCAGCCTTAAAAAGGAAATTCTGACACATGCTACAACACAGATGAACCATGGACATCATGCTAAGTGAAATAAACTAGTCACAAGAAGGCAAATACTATATTATTCCGTTTATATAAAATATAGTAGTTAAAATCATAGAGAAAGAAAGTAGAATGGTGCTTGCCAGTGGCTGGAAGCAGAGAACGAGGAGTTATTACTTAATTGGTAGTTTCCTTTAGAAGAGGAAAAGTGAGTGTGGGCACAGTGGCTCACACCTATAAAATCCCAGCACTTTGGGAGGCCAAGGTGGGTGGATCATTTGAGGTTAGGAGTTCAAGACCAGCCTGGCCAACATGGGGAAACCCTGTCTCTACTAAAAATACAAAAACTAGCCGGGCGTGGTGGTATGCATCTATAATCCCAGCTACCTGGGGAGGCTGAGGCAGGAGAATCACTTGAATACGGGAGGCAGAGATTGCAGTGAGCCAAGATCATGCCACTGCACTCCAGCTTGGGCGACAGAGTGAGACTCCATCTCAAAAAAAAAGAAGAGGAAAAGTGTTATGGAGATGAATGGTGGTTGTGGTGGTTGTATAATGATGTGAATATATTTAATACCACTGAACTGTACACTTAACAATGGTTAAGATGGTAAATTCTGGCCGGGCGCAGTGGCTGACGCCTGTAATCCCAGCACTTTGGGAGGCCGAGGCAGGCAGATCACCTGAGGTCAGGAGTTTGAGACCAGCCTGGCCAACCTGGTGAAACCCCATCTCTACTAAAAATACAAAAATTAGCTGGGTGTGGTGGTGGGCACCTGTAATCCCAGCTACTCAGGAGGTTGAGGCAGGAGAATTGCTTGAACCTAGGAGGCAGAGGTTGCAGTGAGCCAAGATCACGCCACTGCACTCCAGCCTGGGCAACAAAGTGAGACTGTCTCAAAAAAAAAAAAAAAAAAAAAAAAGATGGTAAATTTTATGGGTACTTTATCACAAAAAAAAAAAATGGAGGGAAAAAGACTAATATTCAGTGTCTATAATGTTTTAAACAGTATATTAATGTAATTTTCCCTTGAATATAATCTGTTATCTTCATAATCTAATGAATATAAAAGTCAAGGTAATTATTAAACTGTCGGTAACTACTGAAACTAGCTTTGCCAATTATCCCTACTATTTTCTCCTTGAACAGATATATGAACTGTAAATCCTGTTCAAATACTAGGAAAACTGTGTTGCACAGTATTCAGAAGTATAAGTTTTAGAATTGGGCAGATCAGGGTTCAAATCCTGGCTCTACCTAACCTCAAAGGATTGTTGTTAGTACTAAAATTCAGCCACGTCCAGCCCCTTGAATGCAAGGACATTTTTGCTTATTTGTGGTGGCAGACATCACGAAATTATGCACAGACCCTTTTTCCAGCTATCATTACTGTTAGCATATTTTATGTGTGACCCAAGACAATTCTTCCTCTTCCAATGTGGCACAGGGAAGCCAAAAGGTTGGACATTAGTGAACTAAATGAAATGGTGTAAAAAAGTCTGTCATTATAGGTGGGTGTCCTGACAAAAAATAAATGCTCAGTAAATGTACTCTACATAGACTAAAATCCTTATCATCTTAAGGCTATGCTTCCTAAGAAAAACTTGAATTGCAAGATAAATGTATTATAGCCTCCTTCCCTTTCATATCAAAGCCCTGAAGTTTCAGAAACACAAAGAATGAAACAAAAGAAAAATACAGAATAAAAGTAACTTTCAGAAGACAGATTAAAACATTTATCCCTGGCCGAGCGCGGTGGCTCACACCTGTAATCCCAGCACTTTGGGAGGCCGAGGCAGGCAGATCACGAGGTCAAGAAACCAAGACCAGCCTGGCCAACATGGTGAAACCCCATCTCTACTAAAAATACAAAAATTAGCTGGGCATGGTGGCACATGCCTGTAGTCCCAGCTACTTGGGAGGCTGAGGCAGGAGAATCACTTGAACCCGGAAGGCAGAAGTTGCAGTAACCAAGATCGTGCCACTGCACTCCAGCCTGGTGACTGAGAAGAAAAAAAAAAACACACCATTTATCTCTATCTCCTAAACAACTATTATGCTGAAAGTACAAGCAGTGTTACTGTCCCTGATGAAGATCTTCCAGTGGAACACGATGTGGAGATGGAAGACAGTGATACTGATGACCCCAACCCCACAAAGGTGGCTGAGTGAAGTTTGTTGGACCTGGATGGTAAACAGTGCTATTTGTGCTGATATACCTGAGAATTAAGTTAGCATTAACAAAACCTAGTAATGTACATGTCAAACAAAATATGACTTCTTTTGTGCTTTGTAACTTCATTTAAAGCAGATAAGCCAATCACACTACGACAGTCAAGATGAAACAGGGTTATAAAGAAGTTGCCTAAAATATATGTTCAAAAGACCCAATTAAGTAACAGTCTAGAAGGCCAGGCACAGTGGCTCATGCCTGTAATCCCAACACTTTGGGAGGCTGAGGCGGGCGGATCACTTGGGGCCGGGAGTTCGAGACCAGCCTGGCCAACATGGTGAAACCCCATCTCTACTAAAAATACATAAATTAGCCAGGCATGGTGGCATGCATCTGTAATTCCAGCTACTCGGGAGGCTGAGGTAGGAGAATCACTTGAACCTGGAAGGTGGAGGGTGAAGTGAGCTGAGATCACGCCACTGCACTCCAGCCTCGGCGACAGAGCAAAACGATTTGATGTCTCAAATAAATAAATAAATAAATAACATTTTAGTAGATAAAACACACAAATCTAACATCACCCAGCACAGGAATTTACATCCTCAGGTGTATAACGACTGAGGGCTGTGGGTGCGGAACACCTTAATTCCAATTCTACCTCAGCCATTCATTAAACTGTGTGCCCTTGTAGATGTTTCTTCATTTAAGCCTCCAGGTATAACCTGGACATAATACCCGCCTCTTAGGATCCTTGTAAGGAATAAATGAGTTTGAAAATGTGCTTCACAAATTATTATCAGGCGTTTTTTGCCCCAAGTCAGTCCTGTATTTTCTCTCCCTTACTCATTGTCCCCTTACACCACCTACCAAACTCTGATCTCAAACTTTCCAGTGAGACCTAAATAACTGAAGATGCCCCCCACCCCACCACCCAGGAGGTTGCTACATTCCCACACAGCTTAATGTTAAAAAGATAAAGCTTAGATTTTTAGAATTCCAGTGAGACAGTAAAGCAGTGCACTTTGAAGTGCATCCTCTACTGCAAGAACTGTTGCAGATAGTAACAGTGTCAAATGGCAGAAGAATTAATTCATATGGTGATAAAGGGAAACGATCTTTTTTTCCTTGTGATTTTTTTTTTCAGTAGCATCCACATCACCTAAGAGGTTTCAAGAAAATGCAGAGCCTTCTCAGACCTACTGATTAGAACATGCACTAGAACCAGATTAATGATGCTTTATATATAATTCACATTTGAGAAATGCTGCTCAAAACCCCACCCGTGTAGGTGGCCTGCAAGTACAGTTCAATTTCAATGAAAATTTGGGAGACAGGCACAACCCAAACTCTATAAATACAGAATACTTACTATTTAGAGCTCACCCATAATGCATATTTCAATATTAAAATAATCAACAACTGACAACAAAAAAGATGCTTTTAAAACAAAGCACAGCAACTGTAATTAGTCCTTAGTCACAATAAATACTAACTTCCCATACAGAAATCATATGCATCAGTGTCCACACCAAAATCAATATTTAGAATACACAACTTTCTTCACAAGAACATAGTAATTTTTTTCATTTTAAAAGCTACTTACTTCTCCTTCAGATTTTACACCAATTACTTTTCCATTCTGTACAATGATTTCTTCAATGGGTTTATTCAGCATATAGGTACCTCCATAAATAGCACTTAGCCTGGAAAATTTTTAAAATCCCAATTAATAATATATAGTTGTTTCAACTCCTAAAGTCCCCTTTCTTAGATCTTAATGAGTTACAGACAATATACATTTGTTCAATTTCCTTCTAGAAAGATGTCAGCTTAGAAGTGATTAAAGCAAGAAAACAGAGTCAAAAACACAAACATAATCAGTTATAAATACGAAGTCAAAAAAAATCACTAACCAGGCACTTGTCTTTCGAGCTGCCCACTCGGCCCTCCTCCAAGTGTACTTTCTTTCCTTCCTTTCATTCCTGCCCTAAAGCTTTTCAATAAACGTCCACTCCTGCTCTAAAACTTGCCTCAGTCTCTCCTTCTACCTTATGCCCCTTGGTCATTCTTTCTTCTGAGGAGAAAAGAACTGAGGTTGCTGCAGACCCGTACGGATTCATCTCAGCACGGTAACATATTTTGGTGCCTGTGACTCGGCTACCTTCCACCAGCAACACATTTGGTGCTGTGTGACTCGGATACATTCCCTAGTAGTAAGAGACCTCTACACCTCATTTTCTTTGGCTGGAGGCGTTCAACCCCCATACACGGTTTTCTTCTCCCCTTTCCACTCTCCCGCTTGCTAACCAATCACCGGAACAGTTCCTCTCGGCCGCAGCGGCTCTGCATCCATAGCTTATCCCTCCTCGCTCACCCTGATGGATGGCTCTTCGGGGTCCACACTGAGCAGACCTGAGACACTAATGGCCCTCCTGGACAGGAGGCTCGTGAGTGTGGTGAGGCTAAAGCCTAAAGCCATGCGATGTCTGGGTTTTACTCTGCTTCTTCAACTAAAATCGGCTCTTTCCCAAAACCCCACACTGTCTATTCTCCTGTTTTTCCTTGTGTGTGTGTTCTAAAATGGCCTTGTGCAGTCGCGGGACTATCCACATCAGAGGCAAATCTGCCATTTCTCTGGATTCACACCCAGGGGAAGGGGAAGGGCAAGGGCAAGGGCAAGGCCAAGGGAAGGGTTGACCAGTAATAGCTATATTAGTCTAATCCTCTGGCATATAAATAAAACTATGGACTTAAAACACTATCAGAAGGAACTGAAGGCAGTGGTTCACGCCTAATGCCACCACTTTGGGAAGCCGAGGCCAGCAGATGGCTTGAACGCAGGAGTTTAAGACCAGCCTTGGCAACATGCTGAAACCCTGTTTCTACAACAAATAGAAAAATTAACCAGGCATGGTGGCACTCATCTGTAGTCCCAGCTACCCGGAATGCTGAAGTGGCAGCATCACTTGAGCCTGAGAGGTCGAGGCTGCAGTAAGTCGTGATCACACCACTGCACTCCAGCCCGGGTAACAAAGCAAAATGCTGTCTCAAAAAAAGATAGTAATAAAGTGGGGGGAAAGGCAGCACTGGAGAATGACTTAAAGCAGCAAAAACCAGAGACTGAAGAAACTCTTGAAAGGAACCAAGTGGGTGAGAGCTTTATGTAGTTTATATGGTTTTCCCCTCAGGCAGCAACTTCCCTAGTCCTTGCAACATGGTACAGCTACAACAGAAGCACAATGCCTGCAGTCCTATTGATTTGAGATGTGACAGAATTTGGGGCGGCCAGAGGAGATGAAAATTGTAGGGGAAAGTTTCACAAAAGAGGGAGCCTCAAAAGAAGGAGCCAACAAATCTATGATAAAATATCTTCAAATCCTTAACTACCTCCAGAAGTGCTCACACAGGAGGGAAAAGCGAAGGAATCCACCAGAAATAAACAGCTGAAAGGCTCAAAGAGGTTAGCAGAGATTATAGAGGAAGGACAGAAGAAAAAATGTGTCTGAAGTTTAAAATTGCCATGTTCAAAGGAGCTTGCTTACTCCAGAGGAGTAACGTTTAAGAATAAGCAGAGGCCACTTGCGCGTGTGACGTCATGGCACCGTGCGTGGCAGCAGCAGCAGCGCAGGTGGCAGGCCCGTGGAGCAGTGCTGGAGGAGGAAGTGGTGAGGTTGTTGCTCCCTCTGCGCCCCGCTGCTGGCTCTTGAACGCAGAGAGGGGCCACAGTCCCTGCGGCTGCATCGCGCTTCCCTGCAGTCCCCTCCATGTTCCCCTGCGCCACTGCTCCCCTTCCTAAGGCTGCCACTTACCCCGGAGTCTATGAAAATAATGGATCCCTCAACCTGGCTCATCAACAGAGCAGATGAACAGACCATTTATCAGCAACTACAAAGAAGCTATTTCTTGTCACAAAAAGGCTGCGGCATATCCTTCAGAAGCCGTGAAGCTGACAGTCTGAGCAGGCTCATTTTTCACTGGAATTGCAAAGGAATAGGAAACAGCGCCTCCTCATCCAAGACAGGTGGAAAAGGGCCCAGCGTGAAAAGACTGAAAGCCCAGCAGAACATAGGATGTAGCTGCCCATCTCACAAACCCTCTGCTGAGGATGCAGAGAGCCAGAGCCCCCTTTCTCAGAAGCACAGCCCTTTCACAGAGAAATGCCTGCCTGAGATTCAAGGGATCTTTGACAGGGATCCAGACACGCTACTATTTTTACTTTAGCAAAAGAGTGAGCCAGCAGAGCCATGTATTAGAAGCAAAGGCCCGAAAGATAAAACAATTATAGAGAAGCAGATTTGAAGAGGCATGTGGAATTCCTTGTGGCTGAGAATGAAAGATTAAGGAAAGAAAATAAACAACTCAAGGCTGAAAAGGGCAGACTTCTAAATGGTCCAATAGAAAAGGAGCTGGATGTAGATGCTGATTTTGTAGAAAAGTCAGAGTTATGGAGCTTGCCGCCACATTCAGAAACTGCTACAGCCTCTTTAACCTGGCAGAAGTTTGCAGCAAATACCAGGAAAGCCAAGGACATTCCAATCCCCAATCTTCCTCCCTTGGATTTTCCATCTCCAGAACTTCCCCTTATGGAGCTGAGGATATTCTGAAAGGATTTATGAATAATTAAAATGGAAGGCCAGAGAAGAGGGGAGAAGAGGAAATAATGCGAAAACAGTTAATCCAGCAAAAAAATTAAAAGGGAAAACCACATAGAAGGGTAATCCCGGAAATGCTTCATCTGGCAGACTGTGGGAGAAGAGGCATTGCCAGGACTTGGCAAACAGTCACTGTGAAATGTATCTGATTCACTGACTCGAGCTAATGATTCCAACTTAGTACACACTAAATTCATGGAGGTTCAGTTTCTCCAGATACAAACCAAATGGCTACATAGAATAATTTTTTCAAGCAACAATTACTTGTCTTGTCTTCAGGGTTAAAATGCATAAAAGTTATGCCAGGCACGGTGGCTCATGCCTGTAATCCCAGCACTTTGAAAGGCCGAGGCGGGTGGATCACCTGAGGTCAGGAGTTCAAGACCAGCCTGGCCAACATGGTGAAACACTATCTCCACAAAAAATACAAAAATTAGCCGGGCATGATGGCAGGTGCCTGAAATCCCAGCTACTCAGGAGGCTGAAGTGAGAGAATCGCTTGAACCCAGGAGGCGGAGGCTGCAGTGAGCCAAGATCATGCCATTCCAACTCCAGCCTGGGTGACAGAGTGAGACTCCATCTCAACACAGTCATTTCTCAAAAGAAAACATTTATGCAGCCAAGAAACATGAAAAAAAGCTCATCATCACTGGTCATTAGAGAAATACAAATCAAAACCACAAAACCATGTGAGAAACCGTCTCACGCCAGCTGGAATGGTGATCGTTAAAAAGCCAGGAAACAGCAGATGCTGGAGAGGATGTGGAGAAATAGGAATACTTTTACGCTGTTGGTGGGAGTGTAAATTAGTTCAACCACTGTGGAAGACAGTGTGGTGATTCCTCAAGGATCTAGAACCAGAAATACCATCTGACCCAGCAATCCCATTACTGGGTATATACCCAAAGGATTATAAATCATGCTACTATAAGGACACATGCACACTTATGTTTACTGCAGCACTGTTCACAATAGCAAAGACTTGGAACCAACCCAAATATCCATCAATGGTAGACGGGATAAAGAAAATGTGGCACATATACACCATGGAATACTATGCAGCCATAAAAAAGGATGAGTTCATGTCCTTTGCAGGGACATGGATGAAGCTGGAAACCATCATTCTCAGTTAACTAACACAGGAACAGAAAACCAAATACCGCATGTTCTCACTCATAAGTGGGAGTTGAACAATGACAACACATGGACACAGGGAGAGGAACATCACACACCGGGGCCTGTCAGGGGATGGGGGCTAGGGAGGGATAGCACTAGAAGTACCTAATGTAGATGATGGGTTGATGAGCACAGCAAAACACCATGGCACATGTATACCTATGTAACAAACCTGCACGTTCTGCACATGTACCCCAGAACTTAAAGTATAATTTAAAAAAAAGTATAAAAGTATGTTATGCATAATTAATCTATAATGCCATAAATGATCATGCAAAACTTAAATAATATGGTGGCCCGAGGGGCTGCCTTGTAATTGAAACATGCTTTCTTTCATGCATTGACTATATGCATTTTGTTAATGTGCATTTTGTTTAAATAAGTTGTGTAAGAGACACACCTTTCTAGATGAAACTATACGTGTGTGCCACACTTTGCACTACTAATGATCACCTCAAGACTATCAGGAGAAATATTTAAATTTCCATTTTATGAAGAAAGGAACCAAATTATTAGTTATGCTTTTTTAAACAAATTACCAGTTTACATAATTAATAAGGGTGCATTTTAAGTTCTAACTTTGTTTATTGTATAATGTACCATTTAAAAATACCAAGGAGGAAATATCCTTTGCTTTTAATGATGCATGAGTGGAAGTAATGCTAGTTGGCAGTATTTGATTGTAAGAAATCAATAAATTGTGATTTAAAACAAATCAGCAAACAACAAAAGGAAAAACTAAAAGGACCCACTTTAACAAGGTGTAAAATCCAGTCTCCACAAATGCAAGATGAACAGTCAATAAAAAAATGTAACTGCCTACTCAAACCAAAACCAACTTTTCAGAGGAAGAATCCGGCATCTCAACAAACTATCAATTCATGTGTCCAGTATACAATCCAACATTACTAGACATGGGAAGAAACAGAAAACTGTGATCCAAAGAAAACAGAAAAACAAACAACAGAAACAGATGCCCAAATGTTAAAATACGCAGTTTAAAAGCAGCTATTATAAATACGTTCAAGGATATTATATGTTCAAGAATATGTTCCAGAACAAATATCCTTGTTCAAAGATACATATTCAAGGATAAATATGTTGTTATAAATGTACTCAAAACAGTCAAGTAAATAGAGAATATCACAAAAATGAAAACTATAGGCCGGGAACGGTGACTCATGCCTGTAAAGCAGCAGTTTGGGAGGCTGAGGCGGGCGGATCACAAGGTCAGGAGATGAGACCATCCTGGCCAACATGGTGAAACCCCATCTCTACTAAAAATACAAAAATCACCCGAGTGTGGTGGCATGTGCCTGTAATCCCAGCTACTTGGGAGGCTGAGGCAGGAGAATCGCTTGAACCCGGGAGGCAGAGGTTGCAGTGAGCTGAGATCGCGCCACTGCACTTCAGCCTGGGTGACTCCGTCTCGAAAAAAAAAAAATAAGAAAAAATAAAACTATAGAAAATGAGAACTCTAGATCTAGACAGTATAAAAAAATTAAAATTCACTGAATGAGATTAACAGCCTATTGAAAATAGCAGAAAAGGTCAGTAAACTTGAAGCCACATGAACAGGCATTCTCCGATATGAAGCACAGAGAGGGGGAAAAAAAAAAGTTTGATGCTTTTTTTTTTTTTGTAAGAGACAGGGTCCTGCTCTGTCACCCACACTGAAATGCAGTGGTATGATCACGGCTCACTGCAGTCTCAACCTCTCAGGCTCAAGGGATCCTCCCACTCAGCCTCCCGAATAGCTGGGACTACAGGCATGCATCACCACACCCAGCTAATTTTTTGTGTTTTTCTAGAGACAGGGTTTCACCAGGTTGCCTAGGCTGGTCTCCAACTCCTGGGCTTCAAGCGATCCACCCACCTCACCCTCCCAAAGTGCTGCAATTACAGGCATGAGCCACCATGCTCACTTAAGCCCAGAAGTTCAACACCAGCCTGGGCAACATGGTGAGACTCCATCTCTACCAAAATACAAAAGTTAGCCAGGTGGGGTGGTGCATGCCTGTAGTCCCTACTACTCAAGAGGCTGAGATGGGAAGATCCCTTTAGCCCAGGAGGCAGAGGTTGCAATGAGCCAAGATCATGCCACTGCACTCTAGCATGGGTGACAGAGTAAGATCGTGTCTCCAAAAAAAAAAACAAACAAACAAACAAACAAAAAAACAGACCAAACTATAAATATAAGTGAACTTAATGTGACAAAACCATCTACAAAAAAAAAAAAAACTATAGAAAACATATTTAATAGTAAAATATTTACTAGATTCCCCGTAAAACTGGGAACAAAGCAAGGACGTCCATTCTCATCCCTGCGACATTATCAGGAAGTCCTAACAAGTGCAATAAAGGTAAGTGGGGGAAAAACACATAAAAGTTATAAAAGAAGAATCTCTTTATTCACAGATGACATGACTGTGTAGAAGGATAATTCTAAGAAATATATAAAACTAGAAAAACTAGTAAGTGAACTAGTAAAACTTAAGTACAAGATCATAGGATACAACGTCAACATACAATTACATTTCTGTATACCAGCAGCAAACAATTTCAACATAAAATTAAGACAATTTCATTAACAGCAGCATCAATACAAAATACATTAACAGCGGCATCAGTACAAAGAGATTGAACAAAAATGTGATAGATCTCTACAGTGAAAGCTGTAAAACACTGCTGAGAAGAAAACCACATGGAGAACAATCATATTTATGGACTGGCAGACTCAGCATAATTAAGATGATCATTTTCTCCAAACTCATCTACAAATTTAACTCAATATCAAAATCCCAACAAGCATGTTTTCTAGAAATTGACAACCTGATTTTAAAAACGTATATGGAAATGCGAACACCCAAAACAAATTCTGAAGAAAAAGTTGGCGAAAGTGTTATCACCTACTTCAAGACTTAATATAAAACTATAATTATCCAGACAGTGTAGTACTGGCATAGGAAATACAAATCACTGAAACAAAACTGAGTCCCAAAACAAACTCATATGTAGCCAACTGATCTCCCACAAAGGCACCACGACTACCTAGAAAAGGAAGTCTTTCCAACAAATGCAGCTAAAACAACTAAATATTCGTATGTAAAAAAAAAAAAGAACCTCAAGTCTTACCTCATCCCACACACCAACACTGTCTCAAGATGAATCAGATTTAAATGCACAGATAAAATTATAAAACTTCTAAAAAAAAAAAAAAAAAGACAATAGGAGAGTATTTCTGTGCCCTTGGGGGCAAGTAAAAGACTTCTAAAATAGGGCCAGGCGCAGTGGCTCACGCTTGTAATCCCAGCACTTTGGGAGGCCAAGGCAGGCGGATCATGAAGTCAGCAGATCGACACCATCCCGGCTAACAGTGAAACCCCGTCTCTACTAAAAATACAAAAAATTAGCCGGGCGCGGTGGCAGGCGCCTGTAGTCCCAGCTACTCAGGAGGCTGAGGCAGGAGAATGGCGTGAACCCAGGAGGCAGAGCTTGCAGTGAGCCGAGACAGTGCCACTGCAATCCGGCCTGGGCAAAACACCCAGACTCTGTCTCCAAAAAAAAAAAAAAAAAAGACTTCTAAAATAGGACCCAAAAAGCTATAAACATTAAAAAAATTTTTTCTTTGATATACTGGACTTCATCAAAATGTAACACTTCTAGGCCAGGCACTGTGGCTCCTGCCTGTAATCCCAGCACTTTGGGAAGCCAAGGCAGGTGGATCACTTGAGGTCAGGAGTTAGAGACCAGCCTGTTCAATAACGGCAAAACCCCGTCTACCCAAAATACAAAAATTAGCCAGGCGTGGTGGCACATGCCTGTAGTCCCAGCTACTCGGGAGGCTGAGGCATGAGAATTGCTTGAACCTGGGAGGCAGAGGTTGTAGTGAGCCAAGATCATGCCAGTGCAGTCTAGCCTGGGCAACAGAGCAAGACTCTATCTCAAAAAAAAAGTTAACACTTATGCTTATCAAAAGACCAGCCATAAACTGGGAGAAAATATTCTTAATACATATATGACAAAAGACTTGCCACCATCATACACCAAGATCTCCTACAAGTCAAAAACAGAAAGACAATCCAATCTTTAGAAATGTGCAAAAGACTTGAACAATCACAGCACAAAATTATACAAATGGTCAATAAGCTCATGAAAAGGTGAGCAACATGAGTCAAGAAATACAAATTAAAACCATAATGAGATAGCATTTCACACCCACTTGGGCAATTAAAATTAAAAACTTACAATACTAAATGTTGACAAGGATGTGGAGCAACGAGAACTCTCATACACTGCTGAGTGTATACACAATGACACAACCACTCCAGAACACTGTTTTACAGTTTCTTATGAATTCAGACTTCTATCTGCCACATTAGTCAGCAATTTCACTCCCAGTATTTACCCAAAAGGAAATGAAAACCTATATCCCCACAGAAAGTGTTTTACATAAAAATTTCACAGTGCCTTCATTCATAATAGCCAAAAACTGAAAACTAACTAGATGTCCACCAAAAGGAGAATTATATGCTCATATAATTCATACAAAGGAATTCTACTCAACAATTAAAAAAAAAGAATTGGCCAGGCACAATGGCTCACACCTGTAATCCCAGCACATTGGGAGGCCAAGGTGGGTGGATCACTTGAGGTCAGGAGTTCAAGACCAGACTGACCAACATGGTGAAACCCCATCACTACTAAATATAAAAAATTAGCCGGATGTGGTGGTGCATGCCTGTAATCCCAGCTCCTTGGGAGGCTGAGGCAGGAGAATCACTGGAACCCAGGGGGTGGAGGTTGCAGTGAGCTGAGACTGCACCACAGCACTCCAGCCTGGGCAACAAGAGTGGAACTCCATCTCCAAAAAAAAGAATTACTGACACATGCATCAATATGGATGAATCTCAAAAAATGAAAAAGACACAAATGAGAACATATTGTATTATTCCTTTTACATGAACTTTGAAAACAAGCAAAAGTAATCTATAGTGACAGAAATCACAGAGGTGGTTGCTGGGGATGGGGGGCAGTATTCATTATGAGGTGACACAAGGGAACTTTATGGGGTGAGGAAAATGTTCTATACCTTCACTCAGGTTTTAGTTAAACCCAGGACAGGGATAGGTCTATAAATTTATCAAACTGATTTTTTTTAAAATATATATAGTTATAAAATAAAAAATATAAGAATAGCTACTTCTGCTCGCTTCTGGTGTCCATTTACATGAAATATATTTTTCCACCCCTTTACCTTAAATTTGAGTCCTTTTGTGTCTGGTGAATCTCTTGAAGACAGCAGATACTTGGTTGATGAGTTCTTATCCATTCTGCTATTCTGTATCTTTAAAGTGGAGCATGTAGGCCATTTACATTCAACATTAGTATTGAGATTTGAGGTACTATTCTATTCATCGTGCTATTTGTTTGCCTGAACACCTTGTTTTTTTTCTTCATTGTGTTATTGTTTTATAGGTCCTGTGTGATTTATGCTTTAAGGAGATACAATTTTGGTATTTTGAGAATTTGTTTCAAGATTTGGAGCTCCTTTTAGCAGTTCTTGTAGTGCTGGCTTGGTAGTGGCAAATTCTCTCAGCACTTGTTTGTGTGAAAAAGACTACTTTCCTTCATTTATGAAGCTCTGTTTCACTGGATACAAAATTACTGGCTGATAACTTAAGGAGGCTCAAGATAGGATCCCAATCCCTTCTAGCTTTTAGAGTTTCTGCTGAGAAATCTGTTAATCTGATAGGTTTTCCTTTATAGGTTACCTGAGGCTTTTGACTCACAGCTCTTAAGATTCTTTCCTTCATCTTGACTTTAGTTAACCTGATGACTATGTGCCTAGGTGATGATCTTTTTGTGATGAATTTCCCAGGTGTTCTTTAAGCTTCTTGTATTTGGATGTCTAGATCTCTAGCAAGGCCGGGGAAGTTTTCCTCAATTAATCCCTCAAATTTGTTTTCCAAACTTTTAGATTCTTCTTCTTCCTTGGGAACACCAATTATTCTTAGGCTTGGTTGTTTAACAAACTTATTGGAGGCTGCGTTCATTTTTTTAAATTCTTTTTTGTCTTTGTCAGATTGGGCTAATTCAAAAGCCTTGTCTTCGAACTCTGAAATTTCTTTCTTCTACTTATTCAATTCTATTGCTGAGACTTTCCAGTGCATTTTGCATGTCTCTAAGTGTGTCCCTTGATTTTCAGAAGTTGTGATTATTTATTTATGCTATTTTCCTGGAAATTTTTCCATTCATATCCTGTATCACTTTTTTTGTTTTGCTAAGTTGGACTTCACCTTTCTCTCGTGCCTCCTTGATTGGCGTAATAATGACCTTGTGAATTCTTTTTCTGGCAATTCAGAGATTTTTGTCTTGGTTTAGATCCATTGCTGGTAAGCTAGTGTGACCTTTTCAGAGTGTCAAAGAACCCTGTTTTGTCATATTACCCCAGTTGTTTTTCCAGTTCCTTCTCATCTGGATAGACTATGTCAGAGGGAAGATCTGGAACTCAAGGGCTGCTGTTCAGATTCTTTTGTCCCACAGGGATGCTCCCTTGATGTGGTGCTCTCCCCTTTCCCCTAGGGATGGGGCTTCCTGAGAGCCAAACTGCAGTGATTGTTATTTCTCTTCTTGATCTAGCCGCCCAGTGGAGATAATCAGGCTCTAAGCTGGTACTGGAGAGTGTCTGCAAAGAGTCCTGTGATGTGATCTGTCTCCAGGTCTCTCAGGCGTGGATACCAGCACTTACTCTGGTGGAGGTAACAGGGGTGTGAAGTAGATTCTGTGAAGGTCCTTGGTTGTATTTTTGTTAAGTGCGCTGGTTTTGTATTGGCTGGCCTCCAGCCAGGAGTTGGCACTTACAAGAGCACATCAGCTACAGTTGTATAAAACTGGATTTTTTTTAACTGAAGATCCATGCATATCATTATATGTTAATTTTATTTCAATAAAAATAAAAAGCATCTTATTACTCATAGACTGATCTCATCTCATTATTTAAACTATATCTCATATACACATTATGTTGAAGATGAGGTTTTGGATCACTGAGGTTTTAAACACAGGCTCTTACCTTGCAAATCCTTGGGGCAGTTCTCCAAGGCCATAGAGTGGATAAAGGTATGGGCTTTTGCCATATCTTGCCAAAGATTCACTGTAAAGTTTAATTCTATTAATGGTTTCATAACACGGTTGATCTAAGTAACTGGAAGAAAGGAAATGAGTATTAGGAAAGGGCTTTAGTTTTCATTCATGGTGTTCAATTTATAATTTTTTTTGAAGCGATTTCAATCCGCTATCTTCTTTTTTGTTTTTTTGTTTTTTGAGACAGGGTCTCACTCTGTCGCCCAGACTGGAGTGCAGTGGTGCAATCTCGGCTCCCCACAACTTCCACCTCCCAGGCTCAAGTGATTCTTCTGCCTCAGCCTCCCAAGTGGCTGGAATTACAGGGACGCACCACTACCGCCCAACTAATTTTTGCATTTTTAGTAGAGAGGGGGTTTCACCATGTTGGCCAGGCTGGTCTTGAACTCCTGACCTCAAATGATCCACCCAACTTGGCCTCCCAAAGTGCTGGGATCACAGGCGTGAGCCACCACACCTGGCCCACTACCTTTATATTTAAATCACTTAAAAGGTCCCAACACTAATTTCAACTAGAACCTCTTCATTCATAGTGCAATATGGCTAAGTATTTGTTTTGTTAGAATTTCCACTTGGAAGACTTGGGAAATTTAGTGAGAATTTCAAGAAAAATACAAATCTAAAAACCAAAATACTTACTCATCAGTTCTGTAAAGTGCAAGAGCATGACCAGTAAAATCTATAACGTCTTGACCCAAATCAAATTTCTTATACACATCTCGCATTGTGGTCTTCTTAGGATCAATGCCTTCAAAAGTTCTTGGATCTTTTTCATCGAAGTTGGCAACATACACTAGGAATTTCCTGAAGCGACGTTTTTCAAACAATCCCATTAGGCCTAAATAAAAAAGAATTTTTCAAAAAGCACACTCACAATCAGACATTGAGGAGAACGAAGTATGAGAGCAAAGTTTAAACATGCCTTGTTATCAACTGCGGAATGCAGGATGCAATTTTTTTTTTTTTTTTTTTTTTTGAGACAGAGTCTTGCTCTGTCGCCTAGACTGGAGTGCAATGACGCAATCTCAGCTCACTGCAACCTCTGCCTCCCGTGTTCAAGCGATTCTCCTGTCTCAGCCTCCCGAGTAGCTGGGATTATAGGCAACCGCCATTACGCCCAGCTAATTTTTGTACTTTTGGTAGAAACAAGGTTTCACCATGTTAGGCTGGTCTCAAACTCCTGACCTCAGGTGATCCGCCCACCACGGCCTCCCAAAGTGCTGAGATTACAGGCATGAGCCACCGCGCCTAAAATGCAGGATGCAATTTAAGATATGGGAGTTTGGACAGCATGGCTTCCAGTTTCACAACACCTTAAACTGACACGATTATAACAGGTTACTTATAAAGTCTTCAATTCTACCATACAATTACAAGTAATTAAAACTACTACTTAACTGAATGAAAAATGTCAAATTATGTTTCTTACTAGGTACAAGGTAAATGTGACTCTGAACAAGTATCCATGAAGCCACCCATCTGAAGAGTCTCCCTTTGACAACTCTGATCTACACTCAGCCAATTGCCTAAATTCTGAATGCTCTTGCTTTTCCGCCTCTGTATGCTAAGATACAACCGGGCACTTAATGATAACAGCTTAAGATAACAAGAACAAATTGACCTCGATAAAATTTCGATGCTGCTGCTACTGCTGCTAGTCACTTATTTTACTGAAGTCCTACATAAGCAACCAATTCGCTGCATTTTACACTAAAAAACAGATGAAGAAGCTACAAATTACCACTTTATAAATCCTCAGCTTTTATTACTAGGCTGTATTTCAACTAATCATAGATGATAGACAAATAGCCAACAAAAAAGAAAATTTTCTGATTTTATCTCCCTTCTCCCCCCATTCCTAAGCTGTACAGCTATTTTTAAAATACAACTACAGTTTTAAAAACAAACTCTCAAATGTTTCTATTGACAGCTTAATGTTTTGATAGATTTAATATTACATCCAAGATCATTTTCCAGCCAACAAAACTGAAAATTAAAACCATGAGGCTGGTCAGGTCGTAGTGGCTCACGCCTATAATCCCAGCACTTTGGAAGGCTGAGGAGGGTGGATCGCTTGAGGTCAGGAGTTCAAGACCAGCCTGACCAACATGGTGAAACCCCATCTCTACTAAAAATACAAAATTAGCTGGGTGTGGTGGCGCACGCCTGTAATCCCAACTACTTGGAAGGCTGGAGCAGGAGAATCGCTTGATAAACCCAGGAGTCAGAGATTGCACTGAGCCGAGATTGCACCATTGTACTCCAGCCTGGGCAACAAGAGTGAGACTCCGTCTCAAAAAAAAAAAAGAAACATGAGGCTATTAATGACAACTGACTACATTTAATTTTTTAAAATTAAGATTTACAATTCAGCCTTTTAAATGGACAGAATGTACACACAGTAAAGGCATAAGGCTGAATAGAAATATCCTATTACCACATCAGCACTATACTTAAGACACAAGTGTAGTTGTAAGAGCTGGGTATAAGACAGGCAAAAGGAAACATGAATCACTATTTCAATGCACTTAAAACTTAGGTATCATATTCCGGTCGGCACAGCCTGTCAGAACTTAAAGCTATTACTAACAGTTATTTTGGAGTATCTCCCAACTTTTGTTTATTTAATAGAAACCTGAGTTGCTGTTACCAACTTTTGTTTTAATCAAAATAAAAATCTATCATGTTTCCTTCTCTTTCCTCTCCTTTATTTTCCTCCATTACCTGATCCTTACCCAGAGAGGGATAGAAATCAGTGCCACTCCTGTTTTACACAGCACAGTAGAGACGTCCTGGCTGTTTTTCCATCCCTTAATTCCATGTTGCTATGCATGGCGCCAAATAGTGATCTCAATGACTAGCTGTTAACAGCATGAGAACCAGATATAATTGTATTACAAATACTTCAAACACCCAGTGCTCATTCTGAAAAACTCCTAATTGAAAAAGTTCAAATCAATAACGTGTTTCCTACTGTGTTTTTTTTTTTTCCATAGAAACAAGGTCTCGCCATGTTGCCCAGGCTGGTCTCAAACTCCCAGGCTCCTAAAGTGTGGAATCACAGGTGTGAGCCACTGCACCTAGTCCCTACTAGGTAGATAATTTTTTACAACTACTATTTATCTATGCTGATGCCTTCCCAGATCACTTTATTTAAAGCGTCCTTCTCACACTCCCTCCTTCCTCTTTCCCCCACAGCAATGGATCACCATGGGATATGCCTTTCTGTATTTACAGTTGTCCCTTGAATAACACATCTGAACTGCCACTTTTTATGTAGATCAGAGGTGTCCAATTTTTTGGCTTCCCTGGGCCACGTTGGAAGAAAAAGAATTGCCTTGGGCCACACATAAAATACACTAACGATAGCTAATGAGCTTTAAAAAAATTGTGAAAAAAAATCTCATGTTTTAAGAAAGTTAACAAATTTCTGTTGGGCTGCATTCAAAGCTACCCTGGACCACATGCAGCCCATAGGCCACAGACAGGACAAGCTTGATGTAGATTTTTTCTTGTCAATAAATGTACTGAAAAAATTTTTGGAGGTTTGCATGTTTTTTTTTTTTTAAAAGGAGTCTCACTCTGTCGCCCAGGCTAGAGTGCGCAGTGGCGCGATTTCGGCTCACTGCAACCTCTGCCCCTGAGGTTCAAGCAATACTCCCACCTAAGCATCCCGAGTAGCTAGGATTAAAGGCATGCACCATCAGACCTGGCTAATTTTTTTTTGTATTTTTAGTAGAGATGGGGTTTCACCATGTTGGACAGGCTGGTGTCAAACTCCTGACCTCAAGTGATCCGCCTGCCTCAGCCTCCCAAAGTGCTGGGATGACAGGCATGAGCCACTATGCCCAGCCAGGTTTGTTTTTTCTTTCAGTTCTACGTTTTATTTTACTTGATTTTTTTTTTTTCCTTTTTGAGATGAGATCTCTGTCACCCAGACTAGAGTGCAGTGGCGCAACCACAGCTCACTGCAGCCACCAACTTCCTGGGCTCAAGCAATCTTCCTGCATCAGCCTCCTGAGTAGCTGGGACTACAGGGTATTCAGCTAATTTTTCTTCTATTTCTTGTAGATACAGGGGTCTTACTATGTTGCCCAGGCTGATCTCGAACTCTCGGGCTCAAGTGATCCACCCACCTCAACCTCCCAAAGTGCTAGGATTACAGCCATGAGCCACAGTAGCCGGCCAAATGATTTTTTTTTTAAGAGATAGGGTCTTGCTATATAAGGATATATCGTCCAGGCTAGAGGTGCAGTGACTATTCCCAGGTGTGAACATAGCACAGTACAGCCTCAAATGCCTGGGTTCAAGCAATCCTCCTGCCTTGGCCTACCAAGTGGCTAGGATTACAGGTGCACAGCAACATGCCCAGCAGATTTGTGACAATTTGAAAAAACTTGCAGATGAACCGCATAGCCTAGAAATACCAAAAAAATTAGAAAAAAGTTATGTATGTCATGAATGCTAAAATATATGTAGATATTATTTACTATCATAAATATATGCAATTCTATTTCAAAGTTAAAATTTAATCACAAAACTTAGGCACACAAACACAGACCATACACGGTGCCACTGTAAACAAAGAAAGATGTAGTATTAAGTCTTAACTGCGTAAGATTAACTGCAGTACATACTGTACTACTGTAATAACTCTGGAGCCACCTTTTGTTGCTAATGTGGTGAGCTCAAGTGTTTGAATATCTTAAAACTCTATGTGACAATAATCATCTCTGCATGAGCAGTTCACCTCTCCAGTAAATTATCTGTCACAGTAAAAAGTGATCTCTCCTTGTTCTCACATATTTTTCATCGTGTTTAGTGCAACACCATAAACACTGAGTAAAACGTAGGACCCACAGGGAATGCCACTGATGCTGGAAGTGCTCCCAAGAAGCAAAGTCATGACATTACAAGAAAAAGTTGAATTCCTTGAAACGTACCAACTGACTTCAGGTCTGCGGCTGCAGTTGCCCGCCATTTCAGACAGACAATTCATCTCATACACATACAACCTAAACTTTTGGTACCAATAAGTCCAGTATGGTACTGTAAATGTACTTTCTCTTCCTTATCATCTTCTTAAGGGCACTGTCTTTTCTATAGCTTACTTGATTGTAAGAACACAGTATATAATACATTATCACAAGGCCAGGTGCGGTGGCTCACACCTGTAATCCCAGCACGTTGGGAGAACGAGGCAGGTGGATCACCTGAAATCAGAAGTTCAAGACCAGCCTGACCAACACGGTAAAACCCTATCTCTATTAAAAATACAAAAAATTAGCCAGGTGTGGTGGTGCATGCCTGTTATCCCAGATACTTGGGGAGGCTGAGGCAGGAGAATCGCTTGAACTTGGGAGGTGGAAGTTGCAGTGAGCCAAGATTACACCATTGAACTCCAGCCTGGGCAACAAGAGCAAAGCTCAGTCTCAAAAAACAAAAAAAAATCACATACAAAATAAATGTTAATCAACTACTTAGCTATTTATGTTATCCGTATGGCCTCCATTCAACAACAGGCTATTAGTAGTTTCAGAAGTGTCAAAAGTCTTGAAGTCTTAATCTCTGAAAGTGATCTAAGAGGGTTAAAACTCACTTCTTCCAAACTCTTTTTAATGTTGGTATTTTGACCTCCTCCCATGAATTATAAATGTTCTTGGCTGGGTGCAGTGGCTCACGCCTGTAGTGCTAAGACTTTGGGACACTGAGGAGAGATGACTGCTTGAGCCCAGGAATTCAAGACCAGCCTAGACAATTATAGCAAGACCCCATTTATACAAAAAATTTAAAAAATTATACCACTATAGGCATGCATGGTGGGATATGCCTCTTTTGGGAGGCTGAGGAGAGGTAACTGCTTGAGTCCGGGAGTTCAAGACCAACCTGGGCAGCATAGCAAGACCTCACTTCTACAAAAAATTTTTTAAATTGCACCATTATAGGCATGTGTATCCCTATAGTCCCAGCTACTCAGGAGGCTAAGGCAGGAGGATCACTTGAGCCCAGGAGGTCAAGGCTACATTGAGCCGTGATCATGCCACTGCACTCCAGCCAGAGCAAGAGTGAGACCCTGTTTCAAAAAAATAAATACATAAAATAATAAATGTTCTGGGGCCGGGCACAGTGGCTCACACCTGTAACCCCAGCACTTTGGGAGGCCAAGGTGGGCAGATCACTTGAGGCTAGGAGTTTAAGACCAGCCTGGCCAACATGGCGAAACCCGGTCTCTACTAAAACATACAAAAATTATGGCCAGGCACAGTGGTTCACGCCTGTAACCCCAGGTCTTTGGGAGGCCAAGGCGGACGGATCATCTGAGGTCGGGAGTTTGAGACCAGCCTGACCAACATGGAGAAACCCCGTCTCTACTAAAAATACAAAATTAGCCAGGCGTGGTGGTGCATGCCTGTAATCCCAACTACTCGGGAGGCTGAGACAGGAGAATTGCTTGAACCCAGGAGGCGGAGGTTGCAGTGAGCGCACCATTGCACTCCAGCCTGGGCAACAAGAGCGAAACTCCGTCTCAAAAAAAAAGAAAAAAAAAAAAAAAATAAGCCAGGTGTGGTGGCGTGCGCCTGTAATCCCAGCTATTCAGGAGGCTGAGGCAGGAGAATTGCTTCAACTCAGGAGACAGAGGTTGCAGTGAGCCAAAATTGTGCCACCGCACTCTAGCCTGGGGGACAAAGAAAAAAACAGTCCTGTTTACACTGAATGAGCAGAAAACATCTGGGATACTGTCTCTGGTCTGGCTGCCATATTATATATAGGATCTTGACTAATTAGAGAATTTCCAAGGAGTGGCCAAGAGATCTAGATAGCATATTATATGAGAAACAACTAAGGAGACTCAAGTATTTACTTTGGAAAAAAAAGAATTAGAAGGTATGTAATCATTGTTAAAATATCTAAAAAGCAATATATTAATAGCTTTATATACCGTAAGAATATAGTATTTCTTGTGGTTAAGAGTGTGGGATTCTAAAGTCAGACAGACCTGGCTCCAAACCAGTTACTAGCTATACTACTTTGTGCTTTCCTTTTATACCTCAGCTTTCCCATCTGTAAAATAAAAAATAGTAATAGCACCTGCATCTCACACGATTGCAGTGAAGAACTATGTAAAGTTAGATAATACACATGAAGTACTTAATACATATATGCCTAGCATGTAAGTGCTCAAAAAACTGAGTTCTTATTAAAATTATAAAACAACTGGTACTTATCCACCCATCTCTTGAACTTTGCCACCTCTCCACCTTTCCTTACCCCATTCCTTCATTCTGCCTAGAATTTTCTTGCCTGCAACTCAAGATTTCAAAATCCTTTCCATTAATATAAGGAGATGCTGATAAGGTAGTGATTTGGTCAAAATGCATAAAAGTGTTTACTAAAACAAGTGATTTCTACTGTACATAAATTATACCTCAATAAACCTAGCCTTAAAAATATATACAGAAGCATATGCGCTTATTCAAAAAAAAAAAAAACAGAAGAAGGATAAGCCAGAAAATGATTACCTAACAGGTCAGAAAGAATGGAAGTAGAAAAGTAAGAATGAGACCAAGACTCGAAATATACCTTTTAACTTTCAAGCTCTGTAAATGTTTTATATATCTGAAAAAATCAGAGAAAATAAAACTGCCAAACGATAATTTCTATTAGATGAAGGAGGTAACTGAAGCTTTAATATAAGTAAGAGCTCCAAGAAAGAAAATGTAAAAGAAAGAACCCACGACCTTTGTCCAAAAAAAAAAAAAAAAAAAATTCTATTTCTTATTTTTATCTAAAAAAAATTTTGAGACAGGGTCCCCCTCTGTCACCCAGGTTGGAGCGCAGTGATGCAATCACAGCTCACTGCAGCTTTGATTTCCTGGACTCAAGCGATCCTCCTGCCTCAGCCTCCACAATACCTGGGACTACAGTAATGTACCACCACATCTGGCTAATTTTCTTATTTTTTGAAGAGACAGGGTCCTGCTATGTTGCCCAGGCTGGTCTTCAACTCCTGGCCTAAATCAATCCTCCTACCACGGCTTCCCAAAGCAATGGGATCACAAGCGTGAGCCACCACACCACACCACTGTTAAAAAGGATTCTATTCAAACTCAAACTCCTACTTCTATGAAGATACTTTATTTGGATTAAATTTTCATAGTCATTTAAAAGATTTAAAATAATTTCGAACCCATGATTACACTACTAACTACCCGCAACTGAATGAGAAACTGTTCCTTCCCTTCCCCAATTATCAGTCCTAACCTAGCCCTGATTCTTTGCAGTATTTTTTACTTTCTGGCTATGTCTTTAATATTTTATACCCAATATTTTCTCCCCTAATCAGAAGTTAATAGAGGAAACTGCCAAAATAATTCAAATTAGGTTTACAGATGAGAAAACTTTTCAGCGCTGATGCCAAAATAATTATGAGAGAACTTATGAGCACTTTCCCTCTTCTAAGCTCCTAGAGCCCTCACCTACCCTTAGTTATACAAATTTATCCTTCTCCAAACTGCTCCATACAAGGACTAAAACATCTTGAAGAACAAAAAGGTCTTTTCTGGACTGTTTGCTATTTAAGAGAGACGCTGAAATAGGAAATGTTAACCAGAACTCTTTGGTGAGGCAACAGAGGAAATAATGTTGGGCAGAGAATAAGATCACTCCAAGGCTGGGCGCGGTGGCTCATGCCTGTAATCTCAGCACTTTGGGAGGCCAAGGCAGGTGAAACACCTGAGGTCAGGAGTTCAAGACCAGCCTGGCCAACATGGTGAAACACCATCTCTACTAAAAATACAAAAATTAGCCGGGCGTGTTGGTACATGCCTATAGTCCCAGCTACTCAGGAGGCTGAGGCAGGAGAATCGCTTGAACCTGGGAGGTAGAGGTTGCAGTGAGCCTCTGAGATCGCGCCATCACACTCCAGCCTGGGTGACAGAGCGAGACTCTGTCTTTAAAAGAAAAAAAAAAAAAAAAATATATATATATATATATATATATATATATATATATATATATATAAAACTCACCAGGAGTTCCTAAAATCAAAGATATTGGGAATTACTAACAAGACCAATTAGAAGATGAGCATCATCAGAATGAGTACTTCTCCTGTTGGCACGTTGGGTAATATAGCGTAGGGTAAGCTTAGTAACATGATTAAGCACCAGGGCTCTGGAGCCACACTACCAGCATTTCACTTCCAACCCAGCTACTTATCCCAGCTACTTATTACGTATGCAATTTTAGGCCTGAGTTTCATCACCTATAAAATGGAGACCCTATGTCATAGAGATGTTTCAGAAGTCAAATAAGAAAACAATATGGAGTGTTCAGTACAGAGCCTTTAGACACAGGAAATACTCAACAGAAAGCATAGCTATTATGAATTACTGTGAAAAGAACACTATTAACCCTAGATAAGCTCAGATCCACCAGCCACAAGGTACATGATCTATAGATGATCATTTAAACTCTAAGCTTCAAACGGGTAGGAATTTTTGAACATTTTGTTCACTGATGTGTTCCCAACTGCCTAGAACAGTGTCTGGCACATGATAGACATTCAATAAATATTTGTTGACTGGGTCCTCTCTAAGACTCTTTTCCAGTATAAAATCTCATTATTCTGAGAAAATAAAACTAGTTACTAGAGAAAATAAAACTACTTACTAGATGCCAGGGCTTCTGCTTCAGTGGAAGGAACCTTGTAGATTTTTCCACCCTTATAGACAAAGCTCCCTTCAGTCACTTTAAAATCCAGATAGCGAGTTACCTCTGTATAAAGCAGCATCTTAACCAGCTGACCTAGAAAAGTCACATAATTCAAACTATAACTTAAGTCTATAAATTATAAAGAACATTTACTAATACTAACAGCTTCTAAAATTTTTTCTAACGATGTTCAATAACTCCAACAAAATAATTTTTTTTTGAGACACAGTCTCCCTCTGTTGCCCAGGCTACAGTGCAGTGGCACAATCACGAGCTCACTGCAACCTCAGCCTCCTGGGCTCATGCAAGCTTCCAGCCTGACGCTCCTGAGTACCTGGCACTACTATGCCTGGCTAATTTTTTTTTGTATTGTTTTGTAGAGACAGGGTTTTGCCATGTTGCCCAGGCTGGTCTCAAACTCCTAAGCTCAAACAATCCACCCACCTTGGCCTCCCAAGTGCTGGGATTATAGGCACGAGGCACCGCGCCTGGCCCAAAATAACCTCCAAAGCTGTATTTTAAATAGGACAACCAGAATGCAAACTTATTGCACTGCATATTACACGTTTTTGTTATTTTTTATCTTTTTTTCCTATTCAAGGTTGAATACATAGGTTTTTTTAATGTTACAACTTAAAGGTTAATAATTCTATCAACTTGCTTTTGCAAAAGCAATGAAAAATTTATTAGAGATATGAGGTTTGGAATTATAGTATTATTGGCCAGGCACAGGTGGCTCACACCTGTAATCCCAGCACTTTGGGAGGCCAAGGAGGGAGGATTGTTTGAGCCCAAGAGTCCAAGACCAACCCACACAACACAGTGAGACCTCATCTCTACCATAACACAAAAAAATTAGCCAGGTGTGGTGGAACACCCAGGTGTGGTGGGACACTGAAGTGAGAGGATCACTTGAACCTAGAAGTCAAGGCTTCAGTAAGCTATGATTGCATTACTACACTCCAGCCTGGGTGACAGAGTGAAACCCCTGTCTCTAAAAAAAATTAATAAAAACAAACAATAGAATATAAACTCAAACAAGGAAAAAGGATAGCAGATGCTTTATTTCATGTGCACAAACAGACCTATAACCAAAAATTTAGTTTTTCAATGTCATCTCAGAAAAAAGTACTAATATTACAGCAATTTAAAAAAATACTTAGCCTGTAATCACAGTACTTGGGAGGCTGAGGCGAGCAGGTCACTTGATGTCAGGAGTTCAAGACCAGCCTGGCCAACATGGTAAAACCCTGTCTGTACTAAAAATACAAAAATTAGCTGGGCGTGGTGGCACGCACCTGTAATCCCAGCTACTTGGGAGGCTGAGGCAGGAGAATTGCTTGAACCAGAAGGCGGAGGTTGTAGTGAGCCAAGATCATGCCACTGCACTCCAGCCTGGGTGACAGAGCGAGACTCCGTCTCAAAAAAAAAAAAAGAAAAAGAAAACTTAGATCCTCTAAAATTAAAAAAATGTGAAAATTTTAAAACCCTACAAACTAGAAAAACATTAAAATAATGCTGTTTCAAAAGGCCCAGTTATTTAAGACTGTCATAAGCATCAACAGGTAAGTCTGTGCCAAAGGCTTACAATCTTGTTATGTATTATGCCACAGCATCATTTGTTTCTCCAGAACCAATTACTAGTAAGTCACAACCCCTTCCTTCCTTTCCTAACTTATTGACTCCAGACATCTAATGGACCATGTTACTCACCATGCTGTTTCATTCAACAAAATCCAGTTCCTCATACCCAGAATAGTACTCTGTCAAAAGTTAGTTTTGATATTAAAATTGTAATCAAAGTACTGTCATAAATTTAAGTTAGAAATTCTTTACCATTAGCCATAAGGAACTTGGGAATCAAGTCAACATTCCAGTCTCTTCCTCTCCCCATTGACTCGGGTGGTGATCCTGGTATTTTAAATCTTTTGTATAACTAAAAGCAAGGAAAAACATAGCCATAATGTTAACAAAATTTAATTTTTTATTACAATATGTACATATTTTTTATTAAGTGCTTTTAGTATAACTAAACACCACCATGCTAGTAAAGTATAAGGGCATTTCATCTTTTATCAGATAAAATTTTTAGCAAGGTCCAATATATATGTAAATTAATTACTAAACTCATAAATGTTAAAATTAACAAATATGGCAGAAGTAAGGTTTTTCACTAGCAGAAAAGAAAGAATATAAAACAAGGCCAGACGCAATGGCTCATGCCTGTAATCCCAGCACTTTGTAATCCATGAGGCGGGTGGATCCCTTGAGGTCAGGAGTTTGAGACCAGCCTGACCAACATAGTGAAACCCCGTCTCTACTAAAAATACAAAAATTGGCCAAGCATGGTGGCTCATGCCTGTAATCCCAAACACTTTGGGAGGCCGAGGCGGGTGGATCAGGAGGTCAGGAGTACAAGAAAAGCCAGGCCAAGATGGTGAAACCCCATCTCTACTGAAAATACAAAAATTAGCCAGGTATGGTGGCAGATGCCTGTAATCCCAGCTACTCGGGAGGCTGAGGCAGGAGAATCGTTTCAACATGCGAGGCAGAGGTTGCAGTGAGCCGAGATAGCGTGACTGCACTCCAGCCTAGTGACAGAGTGAGACTCCATCTCAAAAAAAAAAAAAAAAAAAAAAAAATTAGCGGGGTGTGGTGTGTGCCTGTAAGCCCAGCTACTCGAGAGGCTGAGGCAGGAGAATCACATGAATCTGGGAGGTGGAGAATCACATGAATCTGGGAGGTGGAGGTTGCAGTGAGCTGGGATGGCACCACTGTACTCCAGCCTGAGTGACAAAGCAAGACTCCATCTCAAGAAATAAATAAATAAAACAAGATTATTTGTCAATGACACTGTATAGTTCTCTATACGGACTGTATATGCAGAACTAGGGTGTCACTGACAAATAGCAATCATCTAAATTCATTCTCTCCCAAATAAAAAGCTATCAAAGGCTTAATTTTGCTTTTGTATTATGTAAGGAATTCAAAATAAACCTTAGATTCTTCCTAATCAGAAAAGATAATTAAAATTAGTTCTAGTTCATTTATAATTTTTGAGCTTTACTGAGGTATAACTGATACATAAAGAACTGCCTACTTCCTGCATACATTTTGGTGAGTCTAGACACAAGGTACACCCATAACATCACCATAAGGTACCAATCATATCCATCACCTCCAAAATTGTCCTTTTGTTCTTTTATGATGTTTTGTGGTAAGAATACTCAAATTAATTTATAATTCACATGAATTGAAATGAAGCTCAGATTTCAAAAAGCTTATAAAGTTAGAGAACAGTCACTTGAGCTCATGAATCCTACTGCTAAGGTGGAAAAGAATAAGCAAAATTAGTAAGTATTTATTCAATAAAAATTCTGGCTGGGTGCGGTGGCTCATGCCTGTAATTCCAGCACTTTGTGAGGCCAAGGCAGGCAGATCACCTGAGACCAGGAGATCGAGACCAGCCTGATCAACATGGTGAAACCCCACCTCTACCAGAAATACAAAAAATTAGCCAGACGTGATGATGTACGCCTGTAATTCCAGCTACTCGGGAGGCTGAGGCACGAGAATCGTTTGAGCCTAGGAGGTGGAGGTTGCACTGAGCTAAGATCGTGCCACTGCACTGCAGCCTGGGTGACAGAGAAAGACTCCATCTCAAAAAAAAAAAAAAGAAAAAATTCATGACTCCCTCAATACATCTGGGGAGAAAAAAAAGAAAAGAAATCTTACTCATTGTATTGAAGATCAGCTAAGAAATATACTAGGCCAGGCACAGAGGCTCACACCTGTAACCGCAGCACTTTGGAAGGCCAAGGCAGGCAGATCATTTGAGGAGTTCGAGACCAGCATGGCCAACAAGAAGAAATCCCCATCTCTACTAAAAATACAAAAAATTAGCCAGGCATGGTGGTCCACACCTGTAATCCCAGCTACTCAGAAGGCTGAGCATGAAAATCACTTGAACCCAAGAGATGGAGGTTGCAGTGAGCCGAGACTGCACCACTACACATCAGCTTGGACAACAGAGCAAGACTGTCTCAAAAAAATAAAAATAAAAATAAAATAAAACAAAATTAAGAAAAGAAAAAAATTGTGAGGAGATTTGTAGATTAAGAAAATAAAGAGGTGCCCAGGCATGGTGGCTCTCACCTATAATCCCAACACTTTGGGAAACCAAGGTAGGAGGATCACTTGAGGCCAGGAGTTTGAGACCAGCCTGGGCAACACAGAGAGACCCCATCTCTACAAAAAATAAAATAAGCCAGGCAGGTGGTATGCATCTTTAGCCCCGCTACTTAGGAGGCTGATACAGGAGGATCGTTTGAGCCCAGGAGTTCAAGGCTACAGCAAGCTACGATCGCACTGCTGCACTTCAGCCTGGGCAACAGGGCAAGGCCCTGTCTCTTAAAAACAAACAACAACAACAAAGAATAAAGCGCTCGGGCGTGGTGGCTCATGCCTGTAATCCCAGCAGTTTGGGAGGCCAAGGCAGACAGATCACATGAGGTCAGGGGTTCCAGACCAGCCTGGCCATCATGGTGGAACCCCGTCTCTACTAAAAATACAAAAATTAGCCAGGCATGGTGGTGCACGCCTTTAATCCCAGCTACTTGGGAGGCTGAGGCAGAAGAATCACCTGAACCCAGAAGGTGGAAGCCATAGGGAGGCGAGACTGTGCCACTGCACTCCAGCCTGGGCGGCAGAGCAAGATTCTGTCTCCAGAAAAATAAATAAGAGAATAAAGAGAAAATTATACCAAATACAAACAGCTACGTAAGAGATTACTGGGACCACTGGGAAATTTGAATATGGTTCTGGATATGATATAATGGTATTATGCTTATGCAGGAGAATGTTATTCTTAGCAGATGAATGCTGAAATATTTTGCTCAAGCCTCATGATGTCTTATCACTTTCAATGGATCAAAACCAGTAACAAAAAAAGAGACATGAAAAAAATACAGCAAACTTTAACTGCTGAACTCTGATGGAAGATTTTTTTATACATCGTATTATTCTTTAAACTTTTCAGTATTACTGAATATAGAAAAAAATCCTTTTTGGTAAGTATTGTCTAATAAGTCACTGATTAAAGTCATTGATGATATCTATCTCCCATAAGACACAGTACACATCATATCCATATACGTAGGTGTTCAACAAACCTCACGCAGAAAAACAATCAATATATTAAAACACACTGTGGAAATGCTATGTGTCCACGTTCAAAAAAAGTAGGAAACAAGGCAGTATAGCAAAAGGAACTAAGCTTTGTAGTCATGTAACTTGGGTTTACAACCCATCTCAGATTTTAACCCCACAGAGACTATGTTAAATGGAGATTAAAAAAAAAATCTTTGAGGGACTGAGAAAATAAATAAAGCCATGAGGAAAGCACTGGACTTGCGCTGGCACATCAGACGATCCTCTACCCTCCCTTCCTAGACTATTCTCTGTTAATGCTAAGAGATAACTGCTCCACATAGCAACAAAAGTCAAAATGTAAATTTCTATGAGCTTCAAACCAGAAGCTCCTGAAAAACAGTGCTCCAGATATTCCATTTAACAAAACAAAATTAAGACCATCTCTAAGGAATAAGGTAGAGATTCACAAGTGAAATACTCACAAAGTGTGAGAGGCGTATGAAATTTGACTAACACTTACATCTTCCAATGGTGTTATAGATGCACTCTCTCCTCCGTAGTAAGGGTTTCGATCCATATGAAGAACTTTCTTGCCATTCACTGACATTATACCTGACAGGATACATTCCTATAGAAAAAGCATAGTACCTTGAAAAGAAAGTTCTACAGCATATTTAAAACAGATCATTTTTTTCAAGCCTGCCATTACACATTCTCTTAGTAATTACACTTATATTCATGCAACATGACATAATTTATGAAGAAAGCCCTTAAGAAACCAGGGGTCCAGGTGTGGTCTGTGGGCTCCTATGCATCCCAAGATTAAAACTGTTTCATAATAACACTAAGACATTAGTCACCTTTTAATTTTTTTTTTTTATTTATTTTTTGAGATAGAGTTTCACTCTTCTTGCCCAGGCAGGAGTGCAATGGCGCAATCTCAGCTCATTGCAACCTCTACCTCCAAGGATTCAAGCAGTTCTCCTGCCTCAGCCTCTTGAGTAAGTGGGATTACAGGTGCCCGCCACCACACCCGGCTAATTTTTTGTATTTTTAGCAGAGACAGGGTTTCACCATGTTGGCCAGGCTGGTCTTGAACTCCTGACCTCAGGTGATCCTCCCGCCTCAGCCTCCCAAAGTGCTGGGATTACAGGCGTAAGCCATCGTGCCCAGCCTAGTCACCTTTTCAGTGTTGACACTTCCACTGATGATGTAAAATCAATGGTGGATAAAACAAATTAAGACAGGGCTCTAAACTATACTAGTCATCATTACAGTCTTCATCGCCAGGCATTCATTTAAGGATGTCCTTGATAGGGTGGGCACAGTGGCTCACGCCTGTAATCCCCAGCACTTTGGGAAGCCAGGGGAGGTGGATCACCTGAGGTCAGAAGAGCAAGACCAGCCTCACCAACATGGAGAAACCACATCTCTAGTAAAAATACAAAATTAGCCGGGCATGGTGGCACATGCCTGTAATCCTAGCTATTCAAGAGGCCAAGGCAGGTGAATTGCTTGAACCTGGGAGGCAGAGGTTGTGGTGAACCAAGATCACACCACTGCACTCCAGCCTGGGCAACAAGAGCTAAACTCCATCTCAAGAACAAAAAAAAGGATGTCCTTGATAAAAGCATTAAAAAGTAACTTTATTGGCCAGGCATGGTGGCTCACACCTGCAATCCCAGCACTTCGGGAGGCCGAGGTGGGTGTAATGCTTGAACCCAGGAATTTCAGACCAGCCTGGGCAATACGGTGAAACCCTGTCTCTACTAAATACACAAAAATTAGCAGGGCATGGTGGTGCATGCCTGTAATTCCAGCAACTCAGGAGGCTGAGGCAGAACTGCTTGAACCCAGGAGGCAGAGGCTGCTGTGAGCTGAGACCACGCCACTGCACTCCAGCCTGGGTGACAGAGCAAGACTGAGTAGCAAAAAGAATTAATAAAGTTATTTAATAAACATATACCCTTCAATAGTCATCTTTTAAACATTGTGTGTGAAAAAATGGGAAGAATACAGACAGCACTTCAGCTCAGGGAAAACCTGTGCCACTGATCTGTAAGCTGAACTAGCCGCTTTTTTTTATGAATAATCATTTTTATTTGAAAGAACTGACCAACAAACTATGATTATTCAGATTTAGGTATTTGACATTTTCTCAAAGAAAACCTAAAGGAAAATAACTGACACGTGCTGCCAATAAGTCAAATTTTAAATGAAAATTAGAATTACCGAAAACTTGGCCGGGCACAGCTGCTCACACCTGTAATCCAAGCACTTTGAGAGGCCGAGGCGGGTGGATCACAAGGTCAGGAGATTGAGACCATCCTGGCCAACATGGTGAAACCCCATCTCTACTAAAAATACAAAACTTAGCTGGGCATGGTGGCGCATGCCTGTAATCCCAGCTACTCGGGAGGCTGAGGCAGGAGAATCGCTTGAACCAGGGAGTTGGAGGCTGCAGTGAGCCGAGATCGCGCCACTGCACTCCAGCCTGGTGTCAGAGCAAGACTCCATCTCAAAAAAAAAAAAAGAATTATGGAAAACTTACAACTACCACCATGGGCACACGTCAGGTTCCCCAATACATGAAGAACTTTTCTAACATTATCAGTGACAATACTAACAAATATGATGTTTTGATAATGTAAAATGAAACATGTCAACATTAAGACCCACTTTACTCAGAGTAAACCTTGTTTTCCAAATAACGGGTGAATGAAATTACAAAATCACACAGGAGGAAAAAAGAGGAATTCAAAGTGCAAGCTAGATCAGTGGGTGTTAATATATCAGAATATAAAACATTCATTAATGTGGCTTCAGATTTCATACTGCTATCTCTTAAAAACTACCACTTGTGCTTTTGTGTAAACCAAAGAATATCTACAATAACCTGAAAGGCTATATTTAAATTACTCCTCCCTTTTCCAATTACATGTCTGTGTGAGACCTGTTTTCATATACTTCAGCCTAGACAATATATCGCAACAGAACTGAACACAGAAGCATGTATGTGAATTCAGTTTTATTAAGCCAGACATTAAAGGATTTGCAGAAAACGTGAAATATTGATAGTCTTCTCACAATTTTGTTTTAGAAAATATACTCAGGCAGATGGCTTAAGCCCAGGAGTTGGATGGAGACCAGTCTGGGCAACAGGGCAAAACCCTATCTCTGCAAAAAATACAAAAATTAGCTGGGTGTGGTGGTGAGCACCTGTAGTCCCTGCTACTCAAGAGGCTGAGAGGTGGGAGGATTACTTGAACCCATGAGGGCAAAGGTGCAGTGAGCCGTGATAAGGCCACTGCACTTCAGCCTGGGTGACAAAGTGAGATCCTATCTCAATAACAAAAAAAAAGTACATATACAGTTAAAATTGTTATACATGTTAACATGTAATCGGTTTATTATTTGTCAGTGATTTATTTATTCCTCCATTTCTAATATGATAAATATCAATAGCTACAACCTTTATAAACAAAAGCTCAAGGTCCTGAATTTTTTAGCACGTGAACAGATCCTGAGACTAAAAAGTTTGAAAACTAGAGCCCTAAGCAAAGCATATAGGACAACCACCAATAAATTGACCATCAACCGAAAAGTATAAATGACCACTCTCAGGAAAAAGATAAAGCAAGCATGAATACACTAAGACAAACCAAATTAAGAAGAGGGAAAAAATTAATACAATTAATGTGAAGAAACACAGAGATGGGGCATATAATCACTCAAAAAGGGTTTGAGTGATCAGTGCTTTATTTCTTAAAGAGACAAAGGAAATTCCATGTATCTTTATAAATCTTTAATATTTCTCAAATTTATCCAAAGGACCCTAGATGTCAAAGAACAATCTTATTCTCTACAAGTCTATTTGACTTTGAAACCCGTATTTTTAAAATTCACACAAATTTCAAGTTTTCTTCCATAATATATCTATTCATTTAGTATTTCTTAAATGTCTTAAATTACTTACCATGAGGTTCAAATTTCACTATAGGAGTGTGAATCATTCTTTCTTTTTTTTTTTATTGAGATAGGAGTCTCACCCTGTTGCCCAGACTGGAGTGCAGTGGCGCGATCTTGGCTCAATGCAACCTTCACCTCCCAGGTTCAAGCTATTCTCCTGCCTCAGCCTCCTAAATAGCTGGGATTACAGGCATGCACCATCACGCCTGGCTAATTTTTGTATTTTTAGTAGAGATGGGGTTTCACCGTGTTGGCCAGGTTGGTCTTGAACTCCTGGCCTCAAGTGATCTGCCCACCTTGGCCTCCCAAAGTGCTGGGATTACAGGCATGAACCACTACGCCCAGCCTGAATCATTCTTTCTTTAGCTCAAGAAACAAAACATTCTGAGCACTCCAGAAGGCCCTCATGCCGTATTCCAATCATAACCACCACCATCCCCCAGCACTCTCATAATTTCTAATAGCAAAGATTTGTTCTGCCCGCTTCTGAACTCTAAAAATCTAATCATGTGTATTAACTTTCTGCGTCTGACATTATGCAACACGTTTTAAGATTCTTTCATGTTTTGTGCATGGTCTATTTATTATCATTGCTATAGAGCAAAGGTCCCCAGAGATGAGACAAATCCAGCCTGAAGGCTATTTCTGTGAAGTTTTATTGGTAAATACCCATATCTGTTCATGTACATACTGTTTATGGCTGTTTTCCTAGTACCACAGCAGAGTTGGGCAGCTGTGACAGAGACCAGAACGTCTACATAACCTAAAATATTTACTATCTGGAGCTTTTTTTTTTTTTTATTAAAGACAGAGTTTCTCTCTTGTTGCCCAGGCTGGAGTGCAATGGCACGATCTCAGCTCACCACAACCTCTGCCTCCTGGGTTCAAGCGATTCTCCTGCCTCGGCCTCCCAAGTAGCTGGGACTACAGGTGTGCGCCACCACGCCCAGCTAATTTTTGTATTTTTAGTACAGATGGGGTTTCACCATCTTGGACAGGCTGGTCTCAAACTCCTGACCTCATGATCCACCCGCATCAGCCTCCCAAAGTGCTGTGATTACAGGGGTGAGCCATGGCACCCGGCTACTATCGGGAGCTTTTCAGAGTGTATGGCTAACCCTGCAAGCAGGGCATCTCAGTGTGGTTCCTGACTTGGCATCACCTGCCAACTTGTTAGAAATGTAAATTCTACCCAGATTTCCAAACTTCAGGTTGTATCCAAATCACCTGGAGGGCTTGAAAACACAGACTGCTAGGCCCCATCTACAGAGCTTCTGAGTTAGTAGGTCTGAGGTTGGATCTGAGAATTTGCTCTTTAAAAAAAAAAAAAAAAAAAAAAAGGTTGGCAGGATGCAGACAGGGTCTCACTCCGTTGCCCAGCCTGGAGTGCAGTGGTGTGATCATGGCTCACTGCAGCCTCAACCTCCAGGCTCAAGAGATCCTCTAACCTCAGCCTCCTGAGAAGCTGGAACTACAGACATGTGCCACCACGCCTGCCAAATTTTTTAATTTTTTGTAGCAACAGGATATCACTATGTAGCCCAGCCTTGGCCTTGCAAAGCAAGGTTTGCTCAAGCAATCCTCCTGCCTTGTCCTCCCAAAGTGCTGGGATTACAGGTGTCAGCCACCACTGATGCTGATGAGGTGATACTGATGATGCTGGTCCAGGACCAATTTCAAGAATTACTAAAGCTGTGTTTGCAAATTTTATTATATATAAGAATAACCTGGAGATCCTGTTAAACTGTAGATTCTGATTCTGTGTAATATCCGAGTTGGGGCCTAAACTTCCGCATTTCTGGTAAATTCTCAGGTGTTGCAGATGCAGCTGATCTATGCAGCACACTTTGGGTAACACAGCTGTAGACGATTCCACTGAATGACTATACCACAATTTACTTCTCCATTTTACTCCTGGTGGATATTTGGATAGTTTCCAGTTTTTCACTATTACAAATAATGCTCTATCAACATTCTCGCATGTGTCTTCTAAGTGTGCATTTCTGTTATATATCAAGAAGAGTATAAATACATTCAACTTCAACAGATATTACCAAACAGCTTTCCAAAAACGGTTGTACCAATTTACACTTTTGTCCGCAGTGAGTCCCCACTGTTTCAAATCCTTGACCACTTACACTGTTGCCTTTTTAATTTTAGCCATTCTAGTTAAGAAGTGATTTAATTTGCATTTCCTGAGGACAAATAAGGTTGAACACTTTTTAAATAGTTGATTAATGATTAGGGACCGGGCATGGTGGCTCATGCCTATAATCTCAGCCCTTTGGGAGGCCAAGGTGGGAGAATCGCTTAAGCCCAGGTAACACAGTGAGACCCCCATCTCTACAAAAGAAAATTTAAAAAAAAAAAAACAAAAAAACGTTTACTGATGATCAAGCTAAGTGATAAGGCACTTATGATAAGTGCCTATTCAAAATTTTTCCCCATTTTTTAAATGGGCTTTTTCTCGCTGCTTTATAAAAGTACTTTATATACTATATATAAATCCTTTATTAGTTACATGTACTGCAATTATCTTCTTCCATTCTGTGGCCTGCCTTTTCACTTTCTTCATTATGTCTTCATAAAAGGAAATGAAGGTATTTTAACAACTACAAAAATCAACCCTAATACTGACTAAAACAATTTACTTTTGGGGGGTGGGGGAAGAAAACAACCTAAAGCAGCACCAACATATAGTTCCACATATGAAAATAAAATATTTACTATCTTAAAAATAAGTTATGACACAGCAGAGGAAGACAGTTACATTCCCAGCTGACAAAAGTAGACTGCAGACTTTTGAAAGCAAAATCTCAGCAAGCAAATTGGAGTGTTGCACAGCTTCTATATATAACCTTTCACACTAAGCATGACCCACTGGACTATGGCCGTAAAGCAAGCACTGAGGCCTAAAATAAAGGGCCCAGTAATTTAAAGATGTGGCCGAGTCCAAAGAGCTGACAGCAACTACCTTCAAAGGCACCACTTGGAGCAAATATGACAAGAGCTAACTAAAGCTAATAAAAAATCTGCAGGCCCACTAGTTCCTCTATACCCAACTATTATAAAAGACTGCTTCCACACTGCTAAAAGAATATATAATAGCACAAACATAATAAGCTTTGTTTTAAAACATGGGTGAAGTCATTAATTGATAGAATTTATCAGTCATATCTGGGCACAGTATATATTAATGATCCTAAAATTTTAATATTTTTCCAAAATTACCAGCTCAAAATTAAATTCTACTACAACCTATCTGATGAATACACAATATTCACAAGCAAAGCACATTAAAGCCATAAAAACTAAGCTTCTCTTTTTCACACTAGAAAAGCTGGTCCATCTATCATGTACATCAAGTAACTTTAACCACGAAACTTGTATGTGAATGAATATTCACCAACATGAGTTGTAAATGTAACAGGTAAGAGTACCCACTGTAACTTCAAACTCACCTACAAATGACCTAAGCAGGATAAGAATACATATTCACATCCAAAATCACTAAGACTATAAAACCATCTTCAGAATCCAAGTTCTGTATGACACTAGCATCTGCCACCCACCTGGCACTTGACGTTCTCCTACATAAAAACAGGTAACCAACCAAAATGGTTTTTAATATTTAATTGCACCAAAGTGCTAGTACGTGTAGATATGTGGATGTGGGGCTGGGGGACAGAACCATCAGCGATACTGACGTTCTCTTCCTTCAGCACCCTACACATACCACCAGAGTTGCAATCATCAAAAACAGAATAACTCATTTGGACAACACCCAAATATATTAGACAAAGCACCTGAAGAGGCTGAATGAAATTTCTATATATGAATTGTTACACCTACATGGTGTTTCCACGGCCAGTAACAATGGTATGCTGAAAAATTAATGCCCACTCCCCAACCCCGATTACAGAGCAATTTAGACTTGGAAGGGAATAGAGCCAAAATTTATTAATATTTTGATATACCTTCCTAGTGACAAACTAAACTCTATACCCTGGCTGGGCAAGGTGGCTCACGCCTGTAATCCTAACACTTTGGGAGGACGAGGCAGAAGAACTGCTTGAGCCCAGGAGTTTGAGACCAGCCTGGACAACATGGCAAAACCCCATTTCTACAAAAAATACCCAAACTACATGCCTCCTGTAGTTCCAGCTAACTTGGGAAGCTGAAGTGGGAGGATCATTTGAGCCTGGAAGGTTGAGGCTACAGTGAGCTGTGATCACACAACTGCACTCCAGCCTGGGTAAGAGACCGAGACCCTGTCTCAAAAACAAACAAACAAAAAATCCTCTACACCCTATCAAATCCTACTGCATTTTAAAGTTCTGTTATGGGCTGGGTGCGGTGGCTCTCGCCTGTAATCCCAGCACTTTGGGAGGCTGAGGCAGGCAGATCACCTGAGGTCAGGAGTTCAAAACCAGCCTGGCCAACATGGTGAAACCCCATCGCTACTAAACATACAAAAAAATTAGCCGGGCGTGGTGGTGAGCACCTGTAATTCCAACCACTTGGGAGCCTGAGGCAGGAGAATTACTTGAACCGGGGAGGCAGAGGTTGTAGTGAGCTGAGATTGAACCACCGCACTCCAGCCTGGGTAACAGAGAGCTCTGTCTCAGAAATAAAAAGTATTGTTGTTATTAAAAAAAAAAAAAAAAAAAAACTACAAATACACACACACACACACACACACAAATGTGATCAGGAGTACAAAGTATCTAATAACTAATATTAAAGTGCCTTTTCAAAACTACTTACCTAGAAACATGAGAAATTAACCAGAAAAATTTTAAATCAGTTCATTTCAATGGCAAGTATCTTACAGCAACATAATAAAAATGGCTGTTTTATGAAGAATGTTTCTTTAAATGACTCTGCCCCTCTAATGCATCTCATTAAAAACTGTCAGCCAGGCGCGGTGGCTCATGCCTATAATCCCAGCACTTTGGGAGGCCTAGGCGGGTGGATCACCTGAGGTTAGGAGTTCGAGACCAGCCTGATCAATATGGTGAAACCCCATCTCTACTAAAAATACAAATATTAGCTGGGCATGGTGGCAGGCACCTGTAATCCCAGCTACCCGGGAGGCTGAGACAGGAGAACTGCTTGAACCTGGGAAGCAGAGGTTGCGGTGAGCCGAGATCACATCACTGTACTCCAGCCTGGGCAACAGAGTGAGACTCCATCTCAAAAAAAAACAAAAAAAAAAACTGTCAAAAGATACCTTCTCTTGAAATGTGGCTAATTATATCACTCTCCTGCTCAAAGTCCTCTCTCACTGCCTTGAAGATAATTTTCACATTTCTTAGCCTAGAATCTCTCTCCAAAGCTTCTGTTTCAAGCAAAACAAACCACTCCCCATTCCCTACATACATCCTTGACTTAGCATTGACTTACACTGACTGCTCTCTGCCTAAAAAATCATTCCTCCATTCAAACCTTGCCAATATTTTTTTAAAGCCAGCTAAATATCTCCTTCTTTACGAAGGTTTTCCTGATTCCCTGACTGAACTCATATAAGTGCACCTCTTAGGGGACTTAATGCTTTCTCATACTAATTCTTATTAGTTACTCTCCAACACGAGAACAAGCTACTTATAGACAGGTTCTGTGTTTACCTTTTTACTGCCCATAACTGATCACAATAGTCACTGGGTTTAAATAACTGAAACTGAAACTATTACTCCAGTAAGAGTCTCCAATCAGGTACCATGGGAGGGAAGACAGAGGTAATTGCAGTGTATCACGCATGTGAACATCTACCAGTGGTCTTTAAAAACCAATGTCACACTATTGTCATCTCTACATGCTAAAATATGTCTAATTTCACTTATATTTTCTTTTGGCCAGGATGCTTAACGCTGGTTTAAACTGCCTACAACACAGCTCCCAAGTGTAACAGCATTTGCAAATATTGATCCTATGCTCACTACTGTAGTGAATAGAAAGTCCTTTGTCTACAGAACTCTAACACAGCTATAAGCAAGAACTCTCAAAGAGCAAATCAAAGATTAAGCAAATCCAAGAGGCAATCTGAATTTTAGTTCAGAATTTTAAAATCAAGTATAAAACCTTCTCTGAATCTGAAATCACAAAATTCTGATAAAGAGAAATGAGGAAAAGTATCTGGGATGTAAAGCAAGTTTTTAAACATATGATGCTGAGAATCATCTGGTATACATCACTAAAGTATATATTTCTATTCATAAATTCTTACTGTGTAGAACAAAAAATGGGAAGAAAAAAACCTCTGGGAAGCACAAACAGCTGTGGAACTAGTTACTCTTATTGTTTTAATCTACTATGTCTAACAAGACTCGTGAATTTATTTCCAAGTCCATAGTGAACTATGTGCAAATTATGTGGTGAGAGGCTGCCTACACATGCTGAAAGCAGAGAAAAGTAAATGTTGCCAGCCTAACAGTAAAGTAAGATAGAGGGAAAAAATATGAAGAGTAAACTGAAGAGCTCAAAAAGCATAGCAGCCTGAGAGTAAAGGGGGCAAAAGTTCCTACAAAGCTGGCGGGGTCTTCATGGCTTCACCATGTTACAGCATAACACAATAGTTAATCTTCACTATGTGAAAACTTGGTTATCAAGTAAATTATGTTTCTTAGTTTGTTAAAGAAGTTGTGACAGCATTTAGAAAGGCATTATCCAAAAGCTGTGCTCTTTAGAGATAACCTTTAGTTCCTCAGAAAATTCAATTGTGTGGAATATTCCATTTCTTTTACACACAGAATGAAGATTTTACTCCTTTATACCAAATCGTTTTGTATCTTCTTGATTAAGATAACTATCAATATTTGTGATTATGAGCTTAGACTTAACAACTCATACAAACAATGGCAGCACTAAGCAACACAGCAACTCCAGCACTTCCTTACACTTCTTTAAAAGTAACAAGTTCCTAACACTGAAAGTACTTGCCTTTTTTTAGGTTCTTAAGTCTCAGGCACTAAAGTAAATTTTAAGAAAATTAATTAACTCCAGACATTCAAAAGTTAATTCTGAGTGCTAACTTTGGTTTTCTCTTCTTCTAATTTTTAATCATCTAATTCCTGGTAACACTAAAAATAAGGATATATGATTTCTCATTATCAAAATCATCCTGTCATCACTACTCCTATCAATGATGGTAATAATGTGATTGTCCTGAATTGATATAATTATCAAAGAACATCTCAGAAAACTTAGGAAGGCTCACAGAGATTAAAGTTATCACAGCTACAAAATGACAGCAGAAACAGGTCTGATTTCTAGTTAAGTATGCATCTACCATTCATCAAAGAGTTCACAATCCGAATGAAAATTTAAACAAAGCTCATTATCTTAACTTGTTATATAAAAACACTTTCACCATCTTTGATACAAAGTGATGTGAACGAGGCTTGTGGAAGCCTGCATGATGGTGGATTTGCACTCACTCGTGCATGCTTAACTGACCTCAATTGTGAGCAAATCTGAAAGACCAGCAACAACCATAGAAAAACGGTGGAACTAACCGGCTCTTAAAACACGCTGGCAGCAACACTACCCATTCCAACAGGCAAAATCCACCACAAACTACTAAGCTCAGCTTGGAATCCCAATTAGGCACTTAAAAAAAAAAAAAAAAAAGCACAAAACCTGCAGTGGGTAGGGCCTATTCATTTAGGCATCCAACAGTCTTCCAGCTTTTCAAAGACAGACACAGGATTATTCCTGGATTGGTCAAACATAACGAAGTATTCAGAATGAATATTCTCTAATAATTGCATATAACTATAAACAGAAAAATGACAGACCAGAAAAACACGATTCTAATTCTTCACAAACCTTTCCTAAAAAATTAGCCAAATAAAAGTTCGAAGGTTTTCTCTTGCCTAGAGACATCTAAAAGTGTTATTTTGGGATGTTACCTGTAAAAAAAAAAAAAAAAATTGGTTTGACCCTGAGAGATTATAATAAATTTCAAAAAATTTGAAGTGGAAGTCTACATTAAATGACTCAGGAATTTGAAGTCAGAGTACATAGGATACACAAGATTTACATCAGTATTCATCTTAATTATGATCAAGCAGCCCAAAGTTAGAATTTCAAATTTCCCCAAAAATTGATAGTTAAAATGGTTTTCTCCAAAGTGAATTCTTTTGCAAGATGAACATTTAAAAAAAAAAAAAAAAGAACAGAAAAAGTACAAACTACAGAACCTGCCTGCGTTATCTACAGATTACCTAAAGTTCCCTTAGAAACAGATAACCAGGAAAATCAATATACCATGATATTAGGTACACCTTGCATTCATATATTACAATGCATTCTTCATGTTATTATCTTCCAACTCCCTGAAGAAAGCTTCGGAGTACAGAGAACTTGGCTTTTAGCAATCCATCACCAACCCAATTCTTAGGGGAAAACAGTCCAGAAGAGACAAAGGAGGCAGAGAACCCACCAAACAAAAGGAAAAGGCGGCGAAGGTCAGGTGCGAAAGCATTTGACGGACAAGTTTTGAAAAAACTCAATTCCAATTCTACAGATGCTCAGTAAGTGAGAAGGGAGGGTGGCTAAAAGGATTCAATAATACTTCTCATTAGCAGGGGGGAGAAAGGATTAAAAGACTAATTTCCACGTTTTCGCCAAAAATATAAGTTAATCAAGCCCTAGCAGTTCCGAAGCAGTGATTATCCAAGACTTGTCAGGAAACCCCGTACTCGGCTTTGGCAGCCAGACTGACCCGGGGCAGCGGCCGAGGCGGAATAGGAAATGCAACCGCGAGGCCTGCACCGTCCCCTCCGCCTCGGGTGCTGGTTTCCAACCGGGCGAGGTCACCGGCCCAAACCGGGGAGCGGGACCCTTGGCCCGGGCGGCCTTCTCCCCTCCCCTCCGCTTCCGCTGGGGGCAAGCGCAGAGGCCGGGCTCGGCCGTCACCCCGCCCCGAGCCTCACGGCCCGCATCTCCATTTCCCCGCCTGCCCCTCACACTGGGAGCCGCCCGCTCGCCCCGGGACGCGGGGCGCCCCTGAACCCGCCCGCGCCCCTAGCCACGACTCCCGTCCCGAAAACTACGGCTGACGGCAGAACGAGACCCCCGAGGAGCTGCGACCCGCGGGCCGTGCAGGAGCCGGGGGTGCGCCCGCCCCGGCTGCTCAGCCCCGGCCCCTCAGCCCTGGCGCCCACCGTCAGGCCGGTGCCCAGCACGATCACGTCGTACTCCTCATTCATGGCGGGGCAGGCGCGGACGCAGGACCCGAGCAAGGAAAAGGCGCAGGGGCTCCGTGACCACCCTACGAGGCTGGGAGGCGCTCTTGGGCGCGAAGGAAAGGGGAAGAGAAAGAGAGGAAAATGGAGCTGGCGACAAGGCGAGACCGACCGCCACCTCAGACGGGAAGAGAAGAACTGGGCGGGGAGAGGAGGGGAGGGAGCGAGGAGGGGAGGGCTGTGACTGAGCCTCCGCAGCCGGGGCGGGGCCTGCAGGCGCCGGGAGGGCCGCCAATCAGGCGCTCCCGGCACTCTAATTGGTTACGTCCCCGTCGCTCGCACAACTTTTTTTCCTTCCCCGCCTCTCGCGAGAGGAAAAGGGCGGGGCGTCGCCATTTTGGCTTCCGGTTCCCCTTGCGGCCTCTGCCACGGTGGTTCGGGAGGCGGCGCGCGGGCCGGGGTGGAGGTGCACGGAGCCGCGGGCGGGGACTGCTGGCCACCACCGTTCTGACTCCCGCCGTCGGGGCGGGAGCTCGCTCGGTCCAAGGTCCCAGAGCCGGATCGCCGCCCTTGGACTTTGAGCGGGCGCGTGCGGCGGCCACGTGGGCGAGGAGCGCGGGCCGGGCTGCCTCTCGGGGGTGGCGGCCTTGGTTCCTCCCGCGGGGCTGGGCTTGCCGGGGCCCGGAGCCCGCCGGGAAGAGTTCGGAAATCACACGTGTCCTTTTTCCCGCTCTGTGCCCTCCTTGTTTAGTGCGTTGCCGGTGGGCGCTTTAGGAAATTGGTAGGAGGAAAAGCGGCTTCTTTTGAAAAGGTAACCCTTAACAGAGATGAAAGTGAAAGCCAGGTTTCATTGGGAAGCCGATCTGCACCTACCGAGGGCTGTAACTTAAAGCCGCTGTAAACGTGGTAGCTGATCCTTGTATGCAAAGGTTTAGGCCCTAAGCTTAGAAACTGTTCCTTGCTTGCCTTCTACCCCGCTCCTCTTTTTCTAGAATTCTCTTAGGAATCTCTGGCTTCATTGAGGACACAGGTGTAAGCAGAAGCTGTGTTCTCAGCTCCAAGAGGCCGACCCCACGAAAGCCTAAGCAGGTGAATTTCGTAAAGACGTTGACAGTTGGAAAACCTGTGCTTTCAGCACGTGATAAATCTGCAGAGTCAGCAGACAATGAAGATTTGGCATTCAAGAACTCCTCAAATACTTCTCGATAGTAGCTATTCAGAGCCTGCCTTGATAGACCGAACTTGCTCATATTTAAATCATTAAGATAGAGGAAAGAATGTAACAACTTTTTAAAATGTTTCTTACCCCATAAATACTTGAAGAAGATATGTTATATTGGACCATGGATCTTTCTGGGGGGGAGGGGAGAAGAAAGCAAAAGTAAAGTTTAAATTTACATTCAACCTTAATTTGATTGTATATATTTGTGACCAAATGAATTAGTGCACAGTTGACCATACAACTGATTATGCAACAGTGAGTGTAACTGACTTTTCTTTTGGCTAAGCTAATGATGACTAAAGAAGGTCCTTCTGTTGCTCTGTCTTCAAGTCATCAGGGGGTCATACTACCTATATTTTTGAACCAATATGAAATAACCCTTTTTCTTTATTTTTCTGAGACAATCTCACCCTGTCGTCCAGGCTGGAGTGCAGCGGTGTAATCATGCCTCACTGCAGCCTTGATCTCCTGGGCTCAAGCCATCCTCCCACCTCAGTCTCCCCAGTAGCAGGGACAAGAGGTACAGGCCACCACACCTGACTATTGGCCCTTTTTTTTTTATTAGCAATAACAATAAAGAGCTTTTTTCACAATTGCCATCAGCCTCTGGCTCTTGAAGAGAAATTTAAGCATGTCAACTGAATTATGTTAACCATGTTTTAGGTGAAGACTATTTTATCGATACTCAAGAGTTGTGAGAAACTTGAAGACACTGAGATAAGGGAATTGAATTTAAGGCTAATAAGGATCCCTTCCTTACTTAACACTGAAGTTCATTTTAGTTCACAGTACAGGCCCTATGGCCCAACAGAAGGACAATAACAATCAAACCTGGACTAAGCCTTAACGGACTGAGTGCATCTAAAATGTTGTACCTGAGCCAGGCACAGTGCTTCACACCTGTAATCCTAACACTTTGGGAGGCTGAGATGGGAGGATCACTTGGGGCCAGGAGTGGGAGATGGGAGAATCACTTGGGACCAGCCTGTGCTGTAGAGCCTAGGTAACAGAGACACTGTCCCTATAAAAAAAATTAGCTGGAGGCCGGGCACGGTGATTGATGCCTGTAATCCCAGCACTTTGGGAGGCTGAGGTAGGCGGATCACAAGGTCAGGAGTTTGGAGTTTGAGACCAGCCTGGCCAATATGGTGAAACCCCATCTCTACTAAAAATACAAAAATTAGCCGGGCATGGTGGCACGTGCCTGTAGTCCCAGCTACCCGGGAAGCTGAGGCAGAGCAATCGCTTGAACCCGGGAGACGGAGGCTGAAGTGAGCCGAGATCGCGCCACTCCACTCCCGCCTGGGCAACAGAGTGAGACTCCGTCTCAAAAAAAAAAAAAAAAAAACTGGGCAGGCTGGGTGCAGTGGCTCACGCTTGTAATCCCAGCACTTTGGGAGGCCAAGGCGGGTGAATCACGAGGTCAGGAGTTCAAGACCAACCCGTCCCAAGATGGTGAAACCCCGTCTCTACGAAAACTACAAAAATTAGTTGGGCGTGGTGTCAGGCGTCTGTAATCCCAGCTACTCAGGAGTCTGAGGCAGAGAATTGCTTGAACCCAGGAGGCAGAGGTTGCAGTGAGCCAAGATCGTGCCACTGCACTCCAGCTTGGGTGACAAAGCGAGACTCAGTCTCAAAAAAAAAATCAGCTGGGCATGGTGGCATGAGCCTGCAGTCCTGGCTACTCAGGAGGCTGAGCTGGGAGGATCACTTGAGCCCAGGAAGGTCAAGCCATGATGATGCCACTGCACTCTAGCCTGGGCAACAGAGCAAAACCCTGTCTCAAAAAAAGAAAATTCTGTGCTTTTCTTGGATCTTCCACCCCACCCATTCCAGTTGCAAGGGAACTTGTAGATGACAAATACTGCTTAAGGTGAAGAGGCTTGAAAGCCACTAATTGGTTGAGTTGATCTCATGCCACAGATGGTAGTTCCTGCTACAGTGAAACCTTAGGTTTAGGGGAAGTAGGTTGGTTGGTGAAGATGAGTGGTAAACATCAATCTTTATTTTTAATTTTATTTTTTGGTGCCAAAACCCAAGATCAAACCAGGACACCATCAATCTTTAAAATATTTCAAATCTTGAAATCAGCCAGGTGTGGTGGCACATGCCTGTAGTCCCAGCTACTCGGGAGACAGGCAGGAGAATCAGTGGAACCCGAGAGGCTGAGGTTGCAGTCAGCCAAGATCGCGCCACTACACTCCAGCCTGAGTGACAGAGCCAGACTCCGTCTCAAAAAAAAAATAAAATAAAATATTTCAAACCTTTATGCAAAGCAGGAATCCATGGAGTCTTATTTATACTTGGGTACATGGGAATAATTGTTTGCTGATCTGTTTTTACTAAGCATCCATCTGCCCTTTGAAAAGGAGAGATTTAATCTAAGGAAAGAAAATGAGAGCGAACCTCAGCCCAGACCATCTTTTTCTCTCCTGCATCACTGTGGCAGTTTCTCAACAGGCTTTTTTCCCTCTCTTTTTCCTCTTCTCCTATCTGTTCTGTCCATTATCTTCTAAAAACACGCATCAGATCATGTTCAGGCTTCTGTATATCTTTTGTACTTAGAATACATTGTAGATCCTAGCCAGGCATGGTGGCTAACGCCTGTAATCCCAGTGCTTTGGGAGGCTGAGGCAGATCACCTGAGGTCAGGAGTTCGAGACCAGCCTGACCAACATGGTGAAACCCCGTCTCTACTAAAAATACAAAAATTAGCCTGGTGTGGTGGTGCACATCTGTAATTCCAGCTACTCAGGAGGCTGAGGCAGGAGAATTGCTGGAACCTGGGAGGCAGAGGTTGCAGTGAGCCAAGATGGCGCCACTGCACTCCAGCCCGGGAGACAGAGCAAGACTCCATCTCAAAAAAAAAAAAAAAAAAAAAAGGGATACATTGTAAATCCTTAAATATGACCTAATACCTTAATCTAGCCTCTGTATGTCTCTCCAACTCTATTTTTTAGTGCTCCTTGGCTCCTTGATCATTAAACCCCAAACATGCATGTGTTTCGGTTCCTAGAATCTGGTCAAGCTTTCAACCACCCGAGGGCCTTTGTACTCTTGGTTCCATGGCTACCACCCCTCACTTCCCCCTGCACTTCTTCATACAGCTAACTTTTTCCACTTCCTTAGGTCTCAGCTTTCCCCTCAACCATCATTCTCTATCAGTACCCTGCTTGTTTCTCACTGCTCTTATTAGAGGGGGTAATTATTTTCTTCACTTGTTCTTTGCTTTTCAAATTGGATGTAAACTCCATAGGGGCAGGGATATGAAGCCTGGACAGCCAGTAAAGGGCTGAGCAACTAGTAGAGGATGAGTAAATATTTGACAAATGAATAGGGGACTTGGAAGTTGAGCCCTAGATCAACAAGGACTGAATATGATGATATTGGTACTAGTTTCCTTTTTTCTTTTTTAAGACAGGGTCTCACTCTGTTGCCCAGGCCAGAGTGCAGTGGCACAACCATAGCTCTGTGCAGCCTCAGCCTCCCGGGCTGAAGTGATCCTCCCTCCGCAGCCTCCTGAGTAGCTAGGAGTACAGGCATGTGCCCACCATGCTCAGCTAATTTTTGTATTTTTGGTAGAGATGGAGTGTCACCTTGTTGCCCAGACTAGTCTTGAATTCCTGGGCTCAAGCAGTCTGCCCACCACAACCTCCGTAGGTGCTGTGGTTACTGGTGTGAGCCACCACGCCAGGCCCCAGTTCCTCTTGATACTTTGGAGAAATACAACTTTTCTTCTAGGAAGAGATATTAAAACTAATATTTTAAAGAGTCTTAGAGATAGGTATCTATAAAACATAAACCTGTGTAAAACCTGGATAGCTAATGCTGCAGAGGGAACATAGTGGGATCTCTAGAAAGGAATTTTAATATAGTTCCAAAAATATATATTTCCTAGCTTATGATCATTCACCCAGAACCATCCCCTAAAAACTGTTTGTCTGCTCCCAGTCTTTATTTTATTTATTTATTTATTTATTTTTGAGACAGAGTTTTTCTCTTGTCGCCCAGGATGGAGTGCAATGGCAGGATCTTGGCTCACTGCAACCTCCGCTTCCCGGGTTCAAGTGATTCTTCTGCCTCAGCCTCCCGAGTAGCTGGGATTACAGGCGCCAGCTACCATGGCCAGCTAATTTTTATATTTTTAGTAGAGACAGGATTTCACCATGTTGTCCAGGCTGGTCTTGAACTCCTGGCCTCAAGTGATCCGCCCACCTCAGCCTCCCAGAGTGCTGGCATTACAGGTGGGAGCACAGCACCCAGCCCTACTTCCAGTCTTTATTTCTGCTCAAACCAGAATTCTAGATATCATCCTTGGTTCTGCTGTCTCTCTCTCCTTCCACATCTATTCTGGTTTTCTATTCTAGTGTACAAACCACCCCCAAAATTTAGTGGCTTAAGTTGAAAAAAAAAATAGCAGCTTAAAAAAAAAACATATTATTATCTCTTACGGATCGAATGGGTCACCCAGGTGGTAATTGCCTGGGCTTTCAGATGGCTTCAGTTAGTGGCTGGGCTGCAGTCATCTGAAGGTTTTACTGGACTGGACATCCAAGATGGCACAACCACGTGGCTGACAGCTGAGGCTGGCCATCGGCTGGGAGCTCAGCTGGGGCTGTCAACCAGAGCAGCTATGCGTGGCCTCTCTGTTTGGCTTGCACTTCTCAGAGTGGTTGTGTTGAAAGAAACAAGAAGTGGAAGTTGCTTGTCTCTTAAGGCCTGGGCCCAGAAACTGGCCCAGAGTCACTTCTGTCTTGTTCTGTTTGTCAGTGCAATCACAGAGCACACCAAAATTCAGATGGAAGAACTGTAGAGCCTGTCTCTCCGTTGGAAGAGTATTAATAAATTGGTAGCCATCTTTTTTTTTTTTTGAGATGGAGTCTTGCTCTGTTGTCCAGGTTGGAGTGCAGTGGCACAATCTCGGCTCACTGCAACCTCCTTCTCCCAAGTTCAAGCAATTCTCGTGCCTCAGCCTCCTGAGTAGCTGGGATTACAGGCACACACCACCACACCCAGCTAATGTTTATATTTTTAGTAGAGATGGGGTTTCACCATGTTGGCCAGGCTGGTCTCAAACTCCTAACCTCAAGTGATCTGCCAGCCGCAGCCTCCCAAAGTGGTGAGATTACAGGCGTGAGCCACCATGTCCAGTGGTAGCCATCTTTAATCTGCCACAGTACCCCATTAAATTTTGGCCATTCCACCTCATAAAAATCCTTCCAGTCCCTTCTCTTCAACCTCACTGCCACAACCCGAGTGCAGACCAGCAAGTTCTCTCCTAGATCCTGGCCCCAGCTTCCTATTGGGACATTTGGTGTTCAGTTCAGGTGGCTCAAACCTGTTCTCTGTATTATAGCTCAAGTGATCTTTATAAAAATCAAAAGTGACCAAGTTGACCATGTCTTTAAGATCTTTCATGGGTCTCCACTGCTGTTAGGATAAAGTCCATACACCTGGTCGTTTCCTAACATGAACTTGAGTGAATTACCTATTCCACCAAATCTCTCACTGCAACCCTCTTCCACCCCTCACCATGTTCATTTTTTTCTTTTTCTTTTTTTTGAGATGGGGTTTCACTATGTTTTCCAGGCTGGCCTTGAACTCCTGGGCTTAAGTGATCCTCCCACCTCAGCCTCCCAAGTAGCTGGAACTACTCATCATAGTTTCTGATTCAGTTGCTGTATTAGTCAGCATCCAGTCAGAAAGACATGAACTACTTTAAGTATTTTACACAGAGATAATGTAGGGAATTGATTTCAAAACTGTTGAAAGAGCTGGAGTGGCAAAAAATAACATTGCCCACAGATGTAGAACTACCTGAAACTCTAGGCTGAAGCAAGAGGGAAACTGCTGTTGCCCTGCGCTTGTGTTTCCCAATGATTTGTGCTGCTGAGGCCAGTGGAACCTGAAGTCATCCACCACCATTACTGCCACTGCCAGAGTCCTTCTGTCTCTGAAGCTACTGAAGTGACTCCTGCCACAGCTATTGCTGGGCCCCGGGGTCCCCACTCATTGGGGTGGCTACTACCACTGGTGGCAGTGCCACCAAAGCAGGGGACTTAGTGTCTCTCCTCCTCCTGGCTCCAGTCTTCCACCAGTACCTTCCATTGGCAGCACCTAGCCAGAAGCCAGTTAGCAAAGGGATCTGGGAAATGTGTTTTGCAGGCTCTCAGTCCCAGATATACAGACGAAACCAAGAATGGAGCTGGGAACTAACAGACCAATGACTGGCTGGGCTACACCAAACATTTCTGTGTTCCATGCACCTGCCATGCTCTTTCCCTTCTGCATGCTTTTCCCCTCTGTCTGGAATGTACCCACCCCTGCCCCCATCCTTCGGGTGGGCCTTGCTTTCTCCTACTTGCTTGAAGTCTCAGTATACATGTCACAGCCCCCAGGGATCTTTCCTGGATCCCCTAATCTGGATGAAATTCCTTTATGCCGGGTTCCCATAGTATTCTCTTACCATGTATCACCCTGGCTTGTAACTGGGTGTTTGCTGCTCTGGGGTAGAACTCTACATTATTCATCTTTTTTTTTTTTTCCATCACCATCTAGCTCAGAGTAGGCAGTTAATAAGTATTTAGTGGGCCGGAAACAGTAGCTCACACCTGCAATCCCAGCACTTTCAGAGGCCAAGGCAGGCAGATCACCTGAGGTCAGGAATTTGAGACCGGCCTGGCCAATAGGGTGAAACCCCATCTCTACTAAAAATACAAAAAATTACTCAGGTGCAGTGGTGTACCCCTGTAGTCTCAGCTACTTGAGAGGCTGAGGCACGAGAATCGCTTGAACCCAGGAGGCGGAGGTTGCAGTGAACCAAGATCGTGCCACTGCACTCCAGCCTGGGTGACAGAGCAAGACTCTGTCTCAAAAAAAAAAAAAAAAAAAAAAAGAAAAAGAAAAAGAAAAAGTATTTAATGCAGGGGTTCCTAACTCGAGTATAATTGTACTGGATGGGCATTATTTTCAGAGACAGGCTCCATTGTCCCAAAAGGGTCAATGACTCCGAAATGATTAAGAAAACATACATGTAGACAAATGAATTCATTCACAATATTTCTTCAATTTAGATAAAGGAAAAAATAACTTGTGGGAAAAAATTGAGTATCAAAGACCATTTCCAGGAGTTGCTCTGAACCTATTCTGGTTCAGGAGGCTGCCTGATAAATTTTTTTACACTTGAATTTTTTTTTTTTTAAAGACCATTTCCAGTGGCTTGCAGTTCTAGTCCACTTATGTTGTTATGAAGGAACACCTGAAGCTGGGTAATTTATAAAGAAAAGAGGTTTATTTGGCTCATGGTTCTACAGGCTGTACAAGAAACATGGCACCAGCATTTGCTTCTGGTGAAGCCTCAGGAAGCTTCCACTCCTGGGAGAAGGCAAAGGGGTGCCATGTGCAGAGATCACATAGTGAGAGAGGAAGGAAGGGAAAGACAAAGGTGCCAGTCTCTTTTCAACAACCAGTTCTTGCAGGAACTAATAACAAGAACTCATTCATGATCGTGAGGACGGCCCTGAGACATGCATGATGGATCTGTTCCCACAATCCAAAAACACCTCCCACCAGGCCCCACTTCCAACACTGGGGACCAAATTTCCACATGAGATTTGGAGGGGACAAATATCCAAACTATATTATTTGCCATAGAACACAACGTTTATTGAATTTCTGTACGTGGGGGAATGAAATCAGCACCTAACCTGATATACACATGGAAATAGAAAATACAATTCCAATAGAAATCACTTGGAAGTGTGTAATTAGTAGCAGCTCTGTGAGGCGCTTTGTATAGAAGGACTCGGAGTTGGTGGCATTGAGTGGGGCTTGTGCATAGTGGCAGAGCAAGTCAGCCAGGTGTCCTGATTCCCAAAAGGCTGGTAAGCATGGTGCAGGCATGTCTTACATGCATTTGCTCTTCAAAAAGCTTCAACTCATTCTAGCACGACTATCATGGATAAGCAATGACCACTGACTATTTCATTTAATTTCTTTGTATCATCTTAAAGACTAGAGTGATCTCTAAGCTGCCCAGGCCTTAGTGTTTCTTAGGTCACTTTAGTCATTCACTTGAATACTTCTTGTGTTAATTAAAGTGATTTTGGGCCAGGCGCCGTGGTTCACGCCTGTAATCCCAGCATTCTGGGAGGCCAAGGTGGGCAGATCACCTGAGGTCAGGAATTCAAGACCAACCTGGCTAACATGGTGAAACCCCGTCTCTACTAAAAATACAAAAATTAGGCCTGCATGGTGGCGGGCGCCTGTAGTCCTAGCCACTCGGAAGGCTGAGGCAGGAGAATCACTTGAACCCAGGAGGTGGAGGTTGCAGTGAGCTGAGATCATGCCACTGCACTCCAGCCTGGGCGACAGAACAAGACTCCGTCTCTAAATAAACAAACAAACAAATAAATAGATAAATAAAGTGATTTTGATTACAAGTTAACTAAAACCACATCCAGCTATCTTAGGTATAAAGGACAATTTATTAGAAGAATAAAGGGGCAAAAATGTAGTCCGGTCTCTGGAAGGAACTGGAATCAGGCACTAGAAAACTCGCTGTGTCTAAGCTCAGCCCCTCTGTGCAACTTCTTGATTTTTTTCTCTCTCTATGGTTGACTTTGTTGGCTTCCCTTGCTCAAACCTAGAGCTCAAACCTAGAGCCAAGTCTCTCAGCCTCACACAATTGACATTTTAGGCCAGGTCATTCTTTGTCGTGGGGCTGTCCTGCGCATTGTAGGGTGTTTAGCAGCACCTCTGGCCTCTACCCACTGGATGCCAGTAGCAGCCACTCTACTTCACCTCCAAGTCGTGAAAATCGTCATGGCTCCAGACATTGCCAGTGTCCCCTGTGGGCAAAAATTGCCTTTGGTGGAGAACCACTGAGCTAGACTAGCTTGGTTTTCATCATTCAGTATCAAATTTCCAGAGGAGATAATCTGATTGGCCCAACTTGGGGCCTGCATCCAACTTGATTCAATTAATCAGTCCGGTATTAACAGTATTATGTGACAGAAATATGGCTGCCGGAAATCCACGCCTGTGGAAAGGATGGACAGATACCCTAATACAGGTGTCAGTTCCATGTCCTTAATCCTAGACATGAAGCTTTCTATCCTGATTCTATGTACCCTGACTCTTGGGTGGTTTAGGGGACATTTTCCCAGAGATGTATTTAGGATATCTACATACCTTTAAAAAAATTTAATCCAGGCCAGACATGGTGGCTCATGCCTGCAATCCCAGCACTTTAGAAGGCCGAGGTGGGTGGGTCACTTGAGGTCAGGAGTTCGAAATCAGCCTGGCCAACATGGTGAAACCCCGTCTCTACCAAAAATACAAACATTAGCCGGGCTTTGTGGTGAGTGCCTGTAATCCCAGTTACTCGGGACGCTGAGGCAGGAGAATTGAGAATTGCTTGAGTCCAGGAGGTGGAGGTTGCAGTGAGTACAGATCCTGCCACTGCACTCCAGCCTGGGCAACAGGACGAGACTCTGTCTCAAAAAAAAAAAAAAAAAAAAAAAAAATTTAATCCAGCTGGGCGCGTTGGCTCATGCCTGTAATCCCAGCACTTTGGGAGGCCAAGGCAGGCGGATCATGAGGTCAGGAGTTCAGTACCAGGCTGGCCAACATGGTGAAACCCCGTCTCTACTAAAAATACAAAAAAAAAATAGCTGGGCAGGGTGGCAGGCACCTGTAATCCCAGCTACTCGGGAGGCTGAGGCAGGAGAATCACTTGAAACCAGAAGGCGGAGGTTGCAGTGAGCCGAGATAGCGCCCCTGCACTCCAGCCTGGGCGAAAGAGCGAAACTCTGTCTCAAAAAAAAAAAAAAAAAAATTTAATCTTACATAAGCAGAAGATGAGAAGACAATTTTTAATTGAAAATCTTCCACTATAAGGGCTTTAAACTGAAAATATGCAATTTTTAAATGTATTTGTTTGACACTGTGTTATCATGTCTCCTCTGTGCCAGGTGCTGGGCTAGGCCTTTCTGAACTAGGAGAATTGGGCCCTGTCTTCACAGAGGTTCTGTTTCATGGTTAGGACAGGTTATCTTCCACATACCCTACTTTGGATTGATACATTTTCAAAGCCATTTTACCTTCGATAGCTAATTATTATTTTTTATGTAAAAATATTAAAATCAGGCCAGGTGCAGTGCCTCACGCCTGTAATCCCAGCACTTTGGGAGGCCAAGGTGGGCGGATCACTTGAGGTCAGCAGTTCGAGACAAAAAATTAGCCGGGCATAGTGGCGCATGCCTATAATCCCAGCTACTCGGGAGGCTGAGGCAGGAGAATCACTTGAACCCGGGAGGCGGAAGTTGCAGTGAGCCGAGATTGCACCACTGCACTCCAGCCTGGGCAACAGAGCGAGACTCAGTCTCAAAAAAAAAAATCTTAAAATCAGGTCAAGTGCAGTAGCGCATGCCTATAATCCCAGCACTCTGGGAGGCCAAGGTGGGTGGATCACCGAGCCCAGAAGTTCAAGACCAGCCTGGGCAACATGATGAAACCTCGTCTCTACAAAAAATACAAAAATTAGCCGGGTGTGGTGGCTGAGTTGGAAAGATCACTTGAGGATGGCATGAGCCTTGGAGGTGGAGGTTGCAGTGAACCAAGATCACCGCACCCCAGCCTGGGTGACAGAGTAAGGCCCTGGCTTAAAAAAAAAAAAAAAAAAGTTAAAATCAGTCCTCTTCTTTGTAACAATATAGTGTTATCTGCTTGTCTAAACTGAATGCTAGTCTTGTTGTTCTTATCAGTAGTTGGTGAACAAATGCGCCTGTTTTACTGGAATAGTCACAGTTTTGATCACTGAATCTCACCTGCTCATAGCTGTGGAAAAAAAATCCCAGGGTGAGTCTCGACTCATGTTAGAAATTAACAACAAAGTATTAGAAAGGACATTTTGTCTTTTCCCAGATAACAGAAAAGCAAGTTTTTGCATTAGGCAGCAAATAAGGACTCGCTCTGCAGTGAGGGTTATATAGCACGACCCTGTTAGGTTGAAAACAAGATGGCTCCGAGCAGGCACAGTGGCTCACGCCTGTAACCCCAGCACTTTGGGAGGCCGAGCTGGGTGGATCACAAGGTCAAGAGATGGAGACCATCCTGGCCAACATGGTGAAACCCCATCTCTACTAAAACTACAAAAATTAGTTGGGCGTAGTGGCGTGTGCCTGCAGTCCCAGCTACTCGGGAGGCTGAGGCAGGAGAATCGCTTGAACCCAGGAGGTAGAGGTTGCAGTGAGCCAAGATCGTGCCACTGCACCCCAGGCTGGGTGACAGAGCAAGACCCCATCTCAAAAAAAAAAAAAAAAAAAAGAATGAATAAAAAAAAAAGAAAAGATGGCTCAATAGAAACTAATCTTTCCAGGCCAGGCGCAGTGGCTCACGCCTGTAAGCCCAGCACTTTGGGAGGCCAAGGCGGGTGGATCACGAGGTCAGGAGTTCGAGACCAGCCTGGCCAACATGGTGAAACTCCATCTCTACTAAAAATACAAAAATTAGCCAGGTGTGATGGTGCATGCCTATAATCCCAGCTACTCAGGAGGTTGAGGCAGGAGAATCGCTTGAACTGAACCTGGGAGGCGGAGGTTGCAGTGAGCCGAGATGGCGCCACTGCACTCTAGCCAGCGAGATGCCGTCTCCAAAAAAAAAAAAAAAAAAGATGGTTCAATAGAAACTAATCTTTCCCCATCTCCCAAACAGTGCTCCATTCCTGCTTAATCAACAGCAGTATCTCCCAGCATTCTGTGAGGAAGTAGAGCCTCAGGATGCTTTCCAAGGAAAGAGTTCCACGGTCATATAAATTTGCATATTCCGTTCTCCTCTGGGAGAGTCCCAGCGCCAATTATCATGTTAAGGGTTCAGAAATGTTCATTGCCATGGCCGTTTTGGAAATAAATCTGGTAGTTTAAATTTAATATGTGTAAATCCTATGTCCCCACAACCTATTCTTGGGTATATATCTAATATAAATTTTCTAGCTGGGTGTGGTGGTTCATGCCTATAATCCCAGCACTTTGGGAGGCTGAGGCAGGTAGATGGTTCGAGACCAGCCTGAGCAACATGGCAAAACCCCATCTCTACAAAAAATACAAAAATTAGCCAGGCATGGTGGCACATGCCTGTAGTCCCAGCTATTGAGGAGGCTGAAGTAGGAAGATCACTGGAGCCCCGGAGGTCAAAGCTTTAGTGAGCTGTGATTGTACCACTGCACTCCAACCTGAGCGACACAGCAAGAACTTGTCTCAAAAATAAAAAAGAAATAGGCTGGGTGGGGCGGCTTACACCTGTAATCCTAGCACTTTGGGAGCCGAGGCTTGCGGATCACCTGAGGTCAGGAGTTTGAGACCAGCCTGGCCAACATGTCAAAACCCTGTCTCTACCAAAAATACAAAAATTAGCTGGGCATGGTGGCAAATGCCTCTAATCCCAGCTACTTGGGAGGCTGAGGTGGAAAAATGGCTTGAACCTGGAAGGCGGAGGTTGCAGTGAACCCAGATTGTGCCGCTGTACTCCAGCCTGAGCGACAGAGCCAGGCTCCATCTCAAAAAAAAAATAATAATAATAAATTTCCTGACACATAAGAAGACACGCTAAAATGTTTACTCTATTGTAACATATCGTAGCAGAGTTAAAGGTAAGCTACTTGTCCCTCCTAAAAGGATGGATAAGTGAAATAAGATGTACAATCCTGTAGCAATCAGGACTAAAGCACGACATAGCAGAAGTGTAGGAGAAAGCTGGAAAATAGTTACTGAATGAGACAAGAAGCTGAATGAGATGTATTTACAATAATGTTATTGTAAAATTTTAAGATGCATACATTTTATGTTTTGTTTTGTTTTTGTTTTTGTTTTCAGACAGAGTTTTGCTCGTTGCCCAGGCTGGAGTGCAATGGTGCAATCTTGGGTCACGGCAACCTCTACCTCCTGGGTTCAAGCGATTCTCCTGCCTCAGCCTCCCCAGTAGCTGGGATTACAGGTGCCTGCCACCACGCCCGGCTAATTTTGTATTTTTAGTAGAGACGGGGTTTATCCATGTTGGTCAGGCTGGTCTCGAACTCCTGACCTCAAGTGGTATGCCCGCCTCAGCCTCACAAAGTGCTGGGATTACAGGCATGAGCCACTGCGCCCGGCAGTTACATACATTTTCAAAATACACTTATGTTTAAGTACATGAGTCAAGTTTAATTGTGAAGACATTGAATGTGTAGTGGGGGTGAGGAAGCAGTAAGAAAACAGTAACAACATACAAAACTGATCTTGAGATGACATTTTGCAGATTGAACACGTGGCTTTATCTTGATTCTCTCCCAAAAGTCTGCTAAAATGGCATTAAAGGAATTTTTTTTTTAAAAATTAACCAATGAATTCAAAGAGACAAGGAGATTCTGCAGTTGAAAGAAGCTGATAGAATCCTGAAAGACAGAAGGTAGACGGTCAACTATGACAGACCAGAGAACGTTAGCATCTGAAGGCCAGCATAGAGGAGAGGCGTAAGAAGCAAACTCGTTGGAGCTGCAGGACCCCAGAAAAAACAGGGGGCCTGAGGGAGCAGCTGTCTCTGCTGGACAGGCTTGAGCTAGGGTAGACACGGGGCGCTAGCTGAAGGTGTGTACAAAGAGCAGCTGGGGTCCAGGAGCTCTCCTGCAACCCTCACTCCCCACCCCCAAGGGCAGGCATTGCCAGTGGGGAGGTAGAGTTAGAAAGTCCCTGGATCCTTCAATAGCAGACAGGAATATTTAAAAAAAAATTAAATAAGAAAGTCCCTGGATCCTTCGATAGCAGACAGGAAGATTTAAAAAAGTAAAAAATAATAAGTTTTAAAAAGGCTGGGCATGGTGGCTCATGCCTAAAATCCCAGCACTTTGGGAGGCTGAGGCGGGCACATCACCTGAGGCCAGGAGTTCGAGACCAGCCTGGCCAACATGGTGAAACCCTGTCTCTACTAAAAATACAAAAATTAGCCAGGCATGGTGGTGCAGGCCTGTAGTCTCAACTACTTGGGAGGCAGGAGAATCACTTGAACCCGGGGGGGTGGAGGTTGCAGTGAGCCGAGATTGTGCCACTACACTCTAGTTTGGGCAACAAGAGTAAAACTTTGTCTCAAACCAAAAAAAAAAGTTAAAAAAAAACAATTAAATAAGAAAGTCCCTGGATCCAAGGACTCCAGCACAGAGAACGAACCTGGCCCATAGAAACTGAGATGGAGGACGGTGAAAGGCACTGTGCGGACCTCCCTGGCTGCAGGAGCTCTGAGCACGTCCGCGATCCTGGGAGTGAAAAGGCCTCCCTGGCTGCTCTGACTTGCTATGGTCAGAGGGGCACACCTGGCTTCTCAAGCAAGCGTATCTAAAAGCAAGAGACCTCCTCTCTTCCATGAAAATGAAAGCACCTTCCAGACAGGGACTGACCCGGGCCTGTGTTAGTTTGAAAGACGTGCTTCAAAGCCTGTTGCGTTAACCTGTGGACCTACGCTGTGGCCCTTCTACTCGCCGTTCTTCCAACGCAGATGAGCCCACCCTCGTGTTTCTGTGCTGTCATGAGACGGACAGTCTTCCCGTCACAGTTGCAGTGCTGGCTTGTCGAGTTGCTGTTCCTAGTTCACCTCTGCAACTCCAAATCGTCAAACAATTTAGAACCACTAGACTCTAGAAAGAGACCAGAAAGCACTTTTGAGATCCCATTTAATCTCTCCACTAGGAAACCTATAGCTAAAGAAGTTTACATAACTTGTCTCCTAAACTGTCATCTCTTGGTTAATTAAATTAAATTTCTCTTCCGGTGGGATCCTGTCAACTTTGTGTTTTCGTGAAGCCTTGCTTTATGTTTTGAAGGTTGAAAGTTAGACCCAGAGAATTTCTTCAACATTCAGTCCTATGACTTCCGAGCCACTATTCACACAGAAAAGCTGTCAGTGGGCTTTATCTTTGTTTTGCAGGAGACCAAACTGATAGGTTGGCCCGACTAGCTTGTGTGCTTTACTTGTTATCTTATTTGTTGGCACAGCAAGAAAACAGCCAATGGCCAGGCATGGTGGTTCATGCCTGTAAGTCCAGCACTTTGGGAAGCCAAGGCGGGCGGATCACCTGAAGTCAGGAGTTCAAGACGAGCCTGTCCAGCATGGTGAAACCCTGTCTCTACTAAAAATACAAAAATCAGCCAGGCGTAGTGGTGCGCGCCTGTAGTCCCAGCCACTCAGGAGACTGAGGTACGGAGAATCACTTGGATGCAGGAGGTAGAAGTTGCAGTGAGCCGAGATCGCACCACTGCACTCCAGCCTGGGCAGCAAAAAAAGAAAACAGCCAAAATACAAGTTAAATATATGCACTGACTCTGTATGCTTGATGCCTATAGCTTTTCTGTATAGCATTCTTTTATTATTTTAAGCAAAACTTTATTTTTCACATAAGCATTTAGGCAGCAGTAACTGATAGGAGCAGATGGCTGGGAGATTAAAAGATAGGTCAGTGGGCCACTCAGTTTGTCCTGGAATTATTAAGACAAATCCTGTTTCCTCTCCTCATCTGTTTCCCACACTTTCTCTTGTTCTCCTCCTTTCCTATTTCATTTTTTATGTATTTATTTTTTAAGACAGAATCTTGCTCTGTTGCCCAGGCTGGAGTGCAATGGCACAATCTTGGCTCACTGCAACCTCTGCCTCCCAGGTTCAAGCAATTCTTCTGCCTCAGCCTCCCAAGTAGCTGGGACTACAGGTGCACACCACCACACACAGCTAATTTTTGTATTTTTAGTAGAGACAGGGTTTCGCAGTGTTGGCCAGGCTGATCTGGAACTCCTGACCTCAGGTGATCCAACAGCCTCGTCCTCCCAAAGTGCTGGGATTACAGGCATGAGCCACCGCGCCCATCTCCCTTCCCTACTTTACTTGCCTTCTTTCTGCCCCTTTCCTTGGGACATTTACCCCCACAGCCCCACCATCCCTACCACCTTTGACAGTTTCCAGACTGTTGGCATGAGAAGGCATGTTGTTTGGAAATGTGGCATAATTAAGAATTTCCAGGCCAGGTGTGGTAATCTTAGCACTTTGGGAGGCAAAGGCAGGTGGATCATTCAAGCTCGAGTTCAAGTCCAGCCTGGGCAACATGGTGAAACCCCGCCTCTACAAACAAAAATACAAAAATTAGCTGGGTGTGGTGGCCCGAGCCTGCAGCCTTAGCTACTTGGGAGGCTGAGGCTGGAGGATTGCGTGAGCACGGAAGGGACAGGTTGCAGTGAGCCAAGATCACGCCACTGCACTCTGCTTCTTATATGTAGTGTGCCCAAAGTCAGCTCACTTCTTTTCTTGTGGTCACCTGGTGCTTTTCTGTGACAGTCAGCATGAAACACCATGACTGCTTTGAACCAGAAAGAGCAATTTTGCCTTCAAAAGGTCAGGACTCTTGGGAATAAAATTCAGTTGAAAAAGTGCTGGGTGTTAGGATATGCCACCCAGAAGCAACCTCTCACCCCGATGCTGGAAGTGCAGCTGGCAGGCCCTCAGCTGCAGAGAGTCACTGGTGCAAGGCCGAGCTCTTCCCGGGCCACAGCCATCACTGTGGAGTACTAAGTACATCCCAGGAGTACTAAGCCCCAGGGCTCTCCCGCTACTGTGCTGAAGGACTCCTCTAGCTCTGCAAAGTGTCCTTGGGCTGGCCTTGGCCTCCTTGGCAGCACAGCTTCTCCCTGACCCACTCCTGCCTCCTCACCTTCCCTTCCACGGTTGTGGACCCCAAGACACTCCCTAATAACCTCCTGCCTGCTAAGCCCACGACCATCCCATGCTGGGGCAGGGAAGCTGCTGGCTTCTGTAGCTAAACCACTGGTGAAGCAGCGCGCAGCGGCCTCAGGGCCCCACCACCAGAGAAACTAGGCTTCACTCCTGCCTCTGTCCCTGGGCTGGACACTGGATTTGGGAAGGCCTCTGATGGGCCTGGCTCCGGCCTACACCATGCCACCCCTGTCAGCCATCTGTTTGGAAGCAGGAGAGACCATGGCCAGACCTAACAAGAGCAGGAGAGGATTCCAGAGCAGACAAATCAATGGGCTGCCAGATGCTGTGGGCTGCCAGACAGCACCCCCTCTCATCGCTGCTTCCTGTGTACCTAGGAAGCCCTTTTGACCCCAGCCCAGTCCTATACCCGTCCGTGGGGGACGGTGACTTTGATGATGCTAGTGGTCCACCTGTTGCATGGCAGTGTGGACATCTTGTTTCTCCGATGGGTTCGGAGCTCTGTGAAGCCAAGATCTATTTTTTTTTTTGAGACAGCGTCTCACTCTGTTTCCCAGGATGGAGTACAGTGTCGCAATTTTGGCTCACTGCAGCCTCCACCTCCCAGATTCAAGCAATTCTTGTGCCTCAGCCTCTGGAGTAGCTGGGAATAACAGGCACAGGCCACCACGCCCAGCAAATTTTTGTATTTGCTTGTAATTTTTTTTTTTTTTTGAGACGGAGTCTCACACTCACCTGGGCTGGAGTGCAATGGCGTGATCTTGGCTCTCTGCAACCTCCACCTCCCAAGTTCAAGTGATTCTCCTGCCTCAGCCTCCCAAGTAGCTGGGATTACAGGTGCCTGCCACCACGCCTGGCTAATTTTTTGTATTTTTAGTAGCAACGGGGTTTCACCATATTGGCCAGGTTGGTCTCAATCTCCTGACCTCGTGATCCACCCGCCTCGGCCTCCCAAAGCGCTAGGATTACAGGCGTGAGCCACCAAATCCGGCCTTGTAATCTTTGTATTTTTTAGTAGAGACAGGGTTTCACCATGTTGGCCAGGCTGGTCATGAACTCCTGGACTCAAGTGATCGGCCTGCCTCAGCCTCCCAAAGTGCTGGGATTACAGGCGTGAGCCACTACCCCAGTCAGCATCACACTTTCTTTCTTTCTTCTTTTTTTTGAGACAGAGTTTCACTCTTGTTGCAGGCTAGAGTGCAATGGCACGATCTCGGCTCACCGAAACCTCCGCCTCCCAGGTTCAGGCTATTCTCCTGCCTCAGCCTCCCTAGTAGCTGGGATTACAGGCATGTGCCACCATGCCCGGTTAATTTTGTATTTTTAGTAGAGACGGGGTTTCTCCATATTGGTTAGGCTGGTCTTGAACTCCCAACCTCAGGTGATCTGCCCACCTCGGCCTCCCAAAGTGCTGGGATTACAGGCATGAGCCACCGCACCTGGCTGGCATCACACTTTCTAAACTGTATTCCTCATGGGCCCAGACTGGGTGTCCTAAGTATTGGTGGATGAGCTGAGCCCATACTAGGTCATGGCTGTTTAAGTTGAAAGGAGCGAGCGTGGAACCACTCAGAAAGAGCTTGATGATCCCCAGATGCATTTTTTGACCCATTTCAGCAGTTCAAAACCGTGCTGACCTGCCAGTACAAGCAGGCCTTGAGGTCAGTAAAAGGTAACATTACAGACATCAAAAGCAAATTAAAAACCCACAGCCTCAGAGAATAACTCCTGATGCCAGCTCCTTCTCATGGCACCCCCTGCCCCATCCCACCAGTGTCAGGTCACAAAGCCCCACACTGCGCCGGGTGGGGATTTAAGATTCCCGCTCCCCCACCCCTGCCACCCTGTAGAACAAGGCGCTGCCACTCAAGCCAGTTCCCTGAGAACCAGTCGGACCAGGACAGGCCCCTGACCACACCCGGCAAACTGGAGTCCTGGCCAAAGGTGCTGTGAGTCCATGAGGTGCTGGCAGGGAGGTGCTCAGAGGAGGGTGCGCAGAGGCGGAGGGAGCCAGGATGGAGGCTGCAGGGAGCAGGGGCAGGCAGGCACGGCAGGGACCACGAGCTCCTGGGATGCAGACAAGACTTGCGGGGGTGCACGGAGACAGAGCAATTTCCCCAGTACTTTGTTGCCACGTTTTTGTGCTGATGGCATCAGATGAAAGAGAAAAGGGGCCGGGCGCAGTGGCTCACGCCTGTAATCCCAGCCCTTTGGGAGACCGAGGTGAGTGGATCACAAGGTCAGGAGATTGAGACCATCCTGGCTAACATGGTGAAACCCCGTCTCTACTAAAAATACAAACAAGTAGCTGGGCGTGGTGGCGGGCGCCTGTAGTCCCAGCTGCTCGGGAGGCTGAGGCAGGAGAATGGCGTGAACCCGGGAGGCGGAGGTTGCAGTGAGCCGAGATGGCACCACTGCACTCCAGCCTGGGCGACAGAGCAAGACTCCGTCTCAAAAAAAAAAAGAAAGAGAAAAGGAATCTGAAAAGGAGCCACCCCTAGCCGCTAATGTGTGTCTGTCTGGATCCTCCTTTCACTTTAGAATGTGAGGGACAGACCAGAGAGCGGAAACCTTTCCTTGGGCATTGACATTTTGATAGGGATCACTTGGTTAAATCAAAGAGATTAAACCCTAAGGAAAGAATTTCAGGCGTCAGCTGGGACTGCATTTTCCATGTAATCGGGAGGGCAGAGGGGACCTGCTTTTTCCCCAGGGGCAGCCTCCAAAGGAGGCTCTGAGAAATACGTTTTGTTATCTGCAGAGGGAGGGGCTGGGGTCCGAGCTCTGAGGTCACTTACATCTGAGGATATTTATAGCCAAGCCAGGTCCCAGCACTTAGCAAGCTTGTGTGGGGAATTAGGCCAGCAACACTTGAAGGACTCTCATGAAAGCAGGGACCACGTTCAGGTGGCCAGCGAGGGTGACCCCAGGAGATTCCCAGGAAAGGGAAAGAATTTAGGAATCAATGCAAAATTAACAGGAGACTGACCACTTTTTTCAGGAGGGATTTGGGAGAAAGATGGATATTCCAGGACAGGTAGCTGGTAAGTTTTCATGGGACAAAAGGAAAGGAGGAAACAAACCAACTGCATTTCCATGCACTGGGATTCCACCAGCTGCTCAGTGTGACCTTCCTTATGGGCAGGTGGGGACATCAGAGACTTTGACTTCAGTGGGAGTAAGCAATGTGCTACGGTCATTCAGTCAGTGAATGGAAAAGTCATTCAACTAACACTGTGTGACTACAACGTGCCAGGGACTGTGCTCAGGACACAAGCAGAGTGGTGAACACGGCGGTTGCAGGCCCTGCCTTCAAGGGTCCACAGTCTAACATGACAGCCAGACATGGCATAAGCAACTGGAAATGGCACATGTGTGACAGGAGCCTATGATGGAAGTGCTGGGTGGGTCCACACTCAGGGTTCCCATACACTCGTGCACTCTACACGGTGCTCTGATAGGGTGGGCTTCGCGATCATCCTTGTTCTTCCAATGAACAAACTGGATCCTTGACAGGTGAAGTGCCTTGCCCAAGGTAACACCACCAATACATGGCAGGGCTGGGATTCAAACAGAGCTGTGTGTGACATCCAAATATGGGCTCTTTAATCTTTTTGTTGAAAATAACGGAAATCTAACTCAAACCTGCCGCACACGGTGACTCATGCCTGTAATCCCAGCCCTTTGGGAGGCCGAGGCTGGAGGATTGCTTGAGCTCAGGAGTTTGAGACCAGCCTAGGCTGGATGGTGAAACCCCGTTTCTACAGAAAATACAAAAATTAGCTGGGCGTGGTGGCATGTGCCTGTGGTCCCAGGTACTAGGGAGGCTGAGGCAGGAGGATTGCTTAAGCCCAGGAGGTCGAGGCTGCAGCCAGCCAGGATCACGCCACTGCACTCCATCCTGGGCAACAGAGCAAGACCCTGTCTCCAAAAAAAGTAAAAAAGTAAATCTAACTCAATCAACCAATCAACTCAATGCATCTTAAACAAGGAGGAGAATGTTGGGGATCCCAGAACTGCAAAGTCTACATGTACGCTTCAAACATGGCTATGTAAATGCAAAGGCTGAGATGACGCCGCTGGGGCTCTGTCATCTGCAGATGTCCCTCTGCTCTCTCAAGATGCAGGCTTCACGGTCACCCCAGCTCAGGACTATGCCAGCCACCCAACTAGAAAGAGTTTTGTTTGTTTGTTTGCTTGTTTGTTTTGAGGAGTCTCACTCTGATTCCCAGGCTGGAATGCAGTGGCATGATCTCGACTCACTGCAGCCTCTGCCTCCTGAGTCCAAGTGATTCTCCTGCCTCAGACTCCTATAGCTGGGATTACAGAGGCACGCCACCACACCCGGCTGATTTTTCCATTTTTAGTAGAGATGAGGTTTCGCCATGTTGGCCAGGCTAGTCTCCAACTCCGCCCACCTTGGCCTCCCAAAGTCCTGGGATTACAGGCATTAGCCACCACATCCGGCCTAGAAAGAGCTTCTGCTGTGTGGCCTGGAGAGGGCTTTGGCTGACCTTGTTTGGGTCATATCATTAAACCCATCAGGGAGCATTTGATGACCCAAGCCTGGCCAATGATCACCCTTGGGCAGCCCCACCCGAACCACACAGAGTCAGCGTAAGCCACCCTGCTCTCCATGCCATTGCCTGTCCAGTCCGCCTATTCCCTGTGCCGAGCCCTAGGGCTCAGAGTGCTAAGAGTTGGTGCAGGTAGGAGAGAATGCAATGAACGCTGCGGGCGAATCCCATTTTGCGTCACAAGATCACCTAACAACTAGTATTTATTCATGACATGAATTACTTTGCACACATTGCTTAAGCTACTCTCTGGGCAAGGCCCTGGGACTAGCGGTCTTTTTGCTTTCTTTTTTTTTTTAAGACAGAGTCTCACTCTGTTGCCCAGGCTGGAGCACAGTAGCAGGAACATGGCTCACTGCAGCCTCCCGGGCTCACTCGACCTCCTGGGCTCAAATTATCCTCCTGCCTCAGCCCCCTGAGTATCTGGCACCACAAGTGTGCACCACCATGCCCGGCTAATTTTTAAATTTTGTGTGGAAACGGAGTCTCACCATGTTGCCCAAGGTGGTCTCAAACTCCTGGGTTTACCCAATCCTCCCACCTCAGCCTCTGGAGTAGTTGGGATTACAGGCACACACCCCTATGCCCAGGTAATTTTTAAAATATTTTGCAGAGACAGGGTTGGTCTGGTCTAGTCTGGTCTGGAACTCCTGGGCTCAAGCAATCCTCCTGCCTCAGCCTCTCAAAGTGCTGGGATTACAGGTATGAGCCACCACACCCAGCCTCTAGAGGTTTTTGTTGTTGTTGTTTGTTTGTTTTTGAGATGGAGTCTTGCTCTGTCACCCAGGCTGGAGTGCAGTGGTGCAGTCTTGGCTCACTGCAACCTCCACCTCCCAGGTTCAAGTAATTCTCTGCCTTAGCCTCCCAAGTAGCTGGGATTACAGGCACCCACCACCATGCCTGGCTAATTTTTTTTTCTTTTCGTATTTTTAGTAGAGATGGGGTTTCGCCATCTTGGCCAGACTGGTCTTGAACTCCTGACCTCGTGATCCACCCAGCTCGGCCTCCCAAAGTGCTGGGATTACAGGCGTGAGCCACCGTGCCTGGCTTTTTTTTGTTGTTTTGTTTTAATAACAAGACTTTATTTATTTAGGGATTATTTATATTCAATAAAATGCATAAATCTCGAATATTCATTTTGATGAGTTTTGATAATTTTTTTTTTTTTTGAGACAGAGTCTTGCTCTGTCACCCAGGCTGGAGTGCAGTAGTGTGATCTTGGCCTACTGCAACCTCTGCCTCCCAGGTTCAAGCGATTCTCTTGCCTCAGCCTCCTGAGTAGCTGGGATTACAGGCATGCGCCACTACATCTGGCTATTTTTTGTATTTTTAGTAGAGATGGGGTTTCACCGTGTTAGCCAGGCTGGTCTCGAACTCCTGTCCTCAGGCAATCTGCCCGCCTCAGCCTCCCAACGTGCTGGGATTACAGGAGTGAGAGTTTTGATCATTATTGTATACACCCTTGTATCCTGCAGCCTAAACAAGATACAGAGCATTTCTACCACCCCAGAGAATTCCTTATCTTTTTATAATATGTCGCTTTTGGCATCTGGCTTCTTCCACTTAATTTTTTTTTTTTTTTTTTGAGACAGAGTGTCACTCTGTCACCCAGCCTGAAGTGCAGTGGTAGGATCTCGGCTCACTGCAACCTCTGCCTCCCAGGTTCAAGTGATTCTCCTGCCTCAGCCTCCCGAGTAGCTGGGATTACAGGCATGCACCACCATGCCCAGCTAAATTTTTGTATTTTTAGTAGAGACAGGGTTTCACCATGTTGGCCAGGCTGGTCTCCAACTCCTGACCTCAGGTGATCCACCTTGGCTTCCCAAAATGCTGGGATTACAGGCGTGAGCCACTGAGCCTGGTCTGTTTTTTGTTGTTGTTGTTGTTTGTTTGTTTGTTTGTTTAACAAAGGCCCAGGCCCTGCTCTTAAGGAACTCCCTGTCTAGTGGAGGAGGGAAGCATTTGAAAAATCAGAATGTGGTAAAAACAGCTGAAGCCTATGAGCTCATTCATATATAAAGAGCTCCTACAGGCCAGGCGCAGTGGCTCACACTGTAATCCCAGCACTTTGGGAGGCCGAGGCGGGCAGATCACTTGAGGTCAGGAGTTCAAGACCAACCTGGCTGACATGGTGAAAAAAAAAAAATACAAAAAAATTAGCCAGATGTGGTGGTAGGCACCTGTAGTCCCAGCTACTCGGGAGGCTGAGGCAGGAGAATCACTTGACCCCAGGAGGTGGAGGTTGCAGTGAGCTGAGATCACGCCACTACACTCCAGCCTGGGCCACAGAGTGACTCCGTCTCAAAAAAAAAAAGCTCTTACAACTCAACAACAAAAAAACGAACAATCCAACTAAAAACTGCGCAAAGAACTTGAGTGGACATTTCTCAAAAAAGATATACCAATGGCCAACAAGCACATGAAAAGATGCTCAGGCTGGCTGCAGTGGCTCACACCTGTAATCCCAGCACTGAGAGGATGGGGTGGCAGATGGCTAGAGCCCAGGAGTTTGAGACCAGCCTGGGCAACATGATGAAACCCTGTTTCTACAAAAATTACAAAAAATTAGCCAGGCATGGTGGCATATGCCTGCAGTCCCAACTACTTGTGGGGCTGAGGTGAGAGGATCCCCAGAGCTCGGGAGGTCAAGGCTGCAGTGAACCGTGATCACACCGCTGCACTCCAGCTTGGGGGACAGAGCAAGACCCTGTCTCAAAACAAACAAACAAACAAACAAAATCATCCTATGATCCAGCATCCCACTCCTAAAGAATTAAAAGCAGGGACTCAAACAGATACTGTGCACCAATGTTCATAGCAACACTGTCAACAGAAACCAAAAGGAAAACAAGCCAAATGTGCATCCGCAGATGAGCGAAGAAACAAAGTGTGTCCATCCATACAATGAAATAGGATTCAGTTATAAAAGGGAATCGAGGCTGGGCGCGGTGGCTCACACCTGTAATCCCAGCACTTTGGGAGGCCGAGGTGGCCGGATCACGGGGTCAGAGATCAAGGCCATCCTGGCTAACAGAGTGAAACCCCGTCTCTATTAAAAATACAAAAAATTAGCCGGGCATGGTGGCGGGCGCCTGTAGTCCCAGCTACTCGGGAGGCTGAGGCAGAAGAATGGCGTGAACCCGGGAGGCGGAGCTTGCAGTGAGCCAAGATCGCGCCACTGCACTCTAGCCTGGGTGACAGAGCGAGACTCTGATAAAAAAAGAAAAAAAGGGAATCGAGCATTAAAGTATGCTACATCATGGATGAACCTTTGCAATATTAAAATAACAGAAGCCAGACACAAAAGGTCACATATTGTGTGATTCCATTGATATGAAATGTACGGGATAATTAAATCCATAGAGACAGAAAGCAACTTGGTGGATGTCACAGGGACCTTTGTTTGAATCCCAACTTTGCCATTTATTGGTGGTCTAACCTTGAGCAGGGCATTTAACCTCTCAAGATTCCAGTTTGTTCATCTGGAGAATGGGGATGACCGTCAAGCCCACCTCAGCAGGGCATCGTATGGGAACTCTGAGCTTGGACCCGCTCAGCAGTGTTTTTTTTTTTCTTTTTGAGACGGAGTCTCGCTTTGTCACCCAAGCTGGAGTGCAGTGGCACAATCTCGGCTCACTGCAACCTCTGCCTCCTGGGTTCAAGTGATTCTCCTGCCTCAGCCTCCTGAGTAGCTGGGATTAAAGGCGTGCACCACCACGCCTGGCTAATTTTTGTATTTTTAGTACCGACTGAGTTTCACCATGTTGGCCAGGCTGGTCTTGAACCCCTGACCCTCCTCGGCCTCCTAAAGTGTTGGGATTACAGGCGTGAGCCACGGCGCCCGGCCCCTGCTTAGCACTTCTGTCATAGGCTCCTGTAACACGTGCCATTTCCAGTTGTTTTGTATCTGGATGTCACGTTAGACTGGACCCCATGTTGGCAGGGACTGCAACCGCTGTGTTGACCACTGTGCTTCTGCCCTGAGCACAGTCCCTGGCACGTTGCCGTCACAGTCTGGGAGGGGAGAATGAAGAGTGACTGCACATGGGTGCGGGGTTGTATTTGGGGTGAGGAGAACACTTTGGAGCTAGATAGCGGTGGTGCCTGCAGAACAGTGAATGTTTTAAATGCCACTGAATTATTCCTTTTATTTATTTATTTATTTTAGTTTTTTTTTGAGACAGGGCCTCTCTCTGTCACCCAGGCTGGGAGTGCAGTGGGACAATCATAGCTCATTGCAGCCTCAACCCCCACCAGGCTTAAGCCATCCTCCCACCTCAGCCTCCGGAGTAGCTGGGAACACAGGTGCACACTACCATGCCCGGCTAATTTTGTTTTTCTTTTTTCGGGGACAGGGTCTCACTATGTTGTCCAGGCTGGTCTCGAACTCCTGGGCTCAAACGATCCTCCCACCTCGGTCTCCCAAAGTGCTGGGATTACAGGTGTGAGCCACTGCACCCGGCCCGAATTTTTCACTTTAAATGGTTCATTTTACGTTACTTGAATTTCACCTCGATAAAAAAACAACAAGGCATCTGAAGTTGTCCACAGGCTTCACACAGCACGTGGAAAGGCGGGCCGGGGTGACTCACCCCTCTGGGGGTCAGGAACGCCGTTCTGGATAACTCGCATCCCCCTGGGGATGTGAGTCTGAGCTGCCCCGGCGAGCGCAGCTGTGTGCAGGGCCCGCAGTTCCTGTTTCCGTCGAGCCTACAGCCCAGAGAAGCGTGTGCTTCTCCCCACGGAGGTGGGTCTCCGTTTCAGGGTCAGACCTGAAAGCATCGGTTGCGTTTGCTGGAGTTGTTGTCAGCATGTTTGCCGCTTTGATTTAGAGGCCGGGATAAAGGGCGATTATCAAAGGACTGCATGTTCCCGGCATGGCCACGATGGGCCCCGGCAGTGTCCCTGGAGGCAGCAAGCTCACTGGACAGGAACAGAGGTGCCATTGTGTGTGGCTAAAGCAGCTAGAAAGTCAGTGCTTCTCTGCTGCACTGTGAGGCGGGAAGAAGATGTATTTCCACCTCGCGGGGCACCTCGTGTCCTGTCTGGGGGGTCTGTGGGCACCAGTGTCCACCCAGGTCCTGCTGCAGAAAGTGGGGAGGCCAGTGGCTCTGGGGCCCTCATTTGGATTTTTTGAGAATTCGTGCCTCCACGCTTTGTCCAAAGCTCTCCTGAAAACCCCTTCGAAAGTCAGGCACAGCCTAGTGAAGGTGCTGTTCCCACGGTTCATGTCATGTGGCCCTGGAAGGTCTCACTCGCTGCAGGTGACCGGGGGGCAGGAGGACATACAGAAAGGCTTCAGCCCACGACTGCCCTGGTGACGCGGGTCATGTCCTCACCCTCACGCCCCCTCATTGCCCCTTTATTTCTGGCATTTCCTTCCTCGGTGGGAGGCCCCCTCTCTGGTGCTGCAAATAAACACCAGACCCCGCCCATCAATCACACCTCTTCAGTGACACAATGACACCCTTTCTGTGCATCAGTGCCCTGTGCTGTCAGAGTCTCGTGACACAGATTCAAACTATTTGGGGATTCTATTTTGGCCAAGCACTGGCCAGTTATTTAACAGGTATGGATTATTTTAACCTTTGTAATTACTGCATAAAGCAGGTGTTACTAAATCCATTGTACGAATAAGGGTACTGACTCAGGTTGGGATTGGCCAAGGCAAGAAGCTGATTAGTGGTGGGGCAGGATTCAAATGTCTGAGTTACTGTTTTTTATACTGTAAGTTCAAAAAACAACAATAACAAAACAAAAACCAAAACAAACAAATAAAAATAAATAAGTAAACTGTAAGTTTAATAAGCTGGCCCTATAAGTAAACCAGTTACTGGAGGCATTCTCCCTCCAGAGCGAAAACAAGAGATTTCTGTGGCAGCTGTCGTATATTTGTAGAGATGGGAGTGATTTGGATAGATTGTTTAACGGTAGGCGCGGGGTCTTCACACAGCCCCTAAATCACCAAATGTGACTGCCTGGTCTACATGCACCAGAAGCTGCTATTTGACAGCTTTACTTAGCGAATGGCTTAATCACGGCATTTCCCCCTCGAATTGATGTAAAGGTGACTCCAAGAGCACAAATTCATTGAAAGTGTTTCTGCCACCATCCCCTTCATGTATACATCAAAGAAAATCAAGAGTAGGATGCCCCTGAGGCCATGGCGTGAGCTGGAATGCTCTTCTCCAACTCATGGTGTTGTCTTCTATATTAGTCTGTTCTCTCATTGCTATGAAGAAATACCTGAGACTGCATAATTTATAGAAAACAAGGTTCAATTGGCTCACGGTTCTGCAGGCTGTACAGGTCGCATAGCACCGGCAACAGCTTCTGGGGAGGCTTCCGGGGGCTTCCAATCATGGCGGAAGGCGAAGGGGAGCAGGCGACTGACATGGCGGGAGAGGGAGCGGCGGCGGGGGGCGCATTTTTAAACAACCAGATCTCATGACAACTCACTACTGTGAGGGATCCAACCCCACGACCCAAACACTTCCCACCACGGCCCACCTCCAACATTGGGGATTACAATTCAACATGAGATTTGGTGGGGACACAGACCCAAATTATTTCATCTTTTGTGAAGCCCAACCAGATCCCCCATCCCTGACACGAATTGCTCCTTCTCTGGTATTTCTCTCCTCCATTAGACTGTGAGATCCTTGAGCTCCGGCACTATATTTTAGCTATCCTTTTCAGTGCTCTTTCAGCGAGAAAAACATTAAAGAATGAAGAAAGGGAGGAAAGAGGAAAAGCTTCCAGAGGCTTACAATTCATTATTAACAAGATAATGTGGTGCTGGGCGCGGTGGCTCACGCCTGTAATCCCAGCACTTTGGGAGGCCAAGGCGGGCGGATCACGAGGTCAGGAGTTCAAGACCAGCCTGACCAACATGGCGAAACCCCTGTCTCTACTAAAAATACAAAAATTAGCCCAACATTCCTGGCTAACATGGTGAAACCCCGTCTCTACTAAAAATCCAAAAAAAAATTAGCCGGGCGTGGTGGCGAGCGCCTGTAGTCCCAGCTACTCGGGAGGCTGAGGCAGGAGAATGGCGCGAACCCAGGAGGCAGAGCTTGCAGAGAGCCGAGATTGCGCCACTGCACTCCAGCCTGGGCGACAGAGCTAGACTCTGTCTCAAATAAATAAATAAATAAATAAATAAATAAATAAATAAATAACATGGCCGGGCGCAGTGGCCCACACCTGTAATCCCAGCACTTTGGGAGGTTGAGGCAGGCAGATCACTTCAGGTCAGGAGTTCGAGACCAGCTTGGCCAATATAGGGAAACCCCATCCCTACTAAAAATACAAAAATTAGCCTGGCATGTTGGCGAGCACTTGTAGTCCCAGCCTACTTGGGAGGCTGAGGAAGGAGAATCCCTTGACTCCAGGAGGTGGAAGCTGCAGTGAGCCAAGATAGTACCACCGCCCTCTAGCCTGGGTCACAGAGGAAGACTCTGTCTCAAAAACAAACAAAAAAACAAAAAACACAATTAAAAAATAGGCAAAGAATGTGAATAGACATTTCTCCAAGCAAGATATAGAAATGGCCAATGAACTCATGCAGGGATTACAGGCATGAGCTCAGCTGGGCGCAGTGGCTCATGCCTGTAATCCCAGCAATTTGGGAGGCCGAGGTGGGTGGATCACCAGAGGACAGGAGTTCAAGACCAGCCTGGCCAACATGGTGAAACACCCTCTCTACTAAAAATACAAAAGAATTGGCCGGGTATGGCGGTGCGTGCCTGTAGTCTCAGCTACTCAAGAGGCCGAGGCGGGAGAATTGCTTGAACCCAGGAGGCGGAGGCTGCAGTTAGCCAAGATCGCACCACTGCACTCCAGCCTGGGCAACAGAGGGAGACTCTGTCTCAAACAAAACAAAACAAAACAAAAAACTGTAAGTCACTTATTTTAGCTATCTTTTTTGGGTAGTTTTATTTTAAAATCTAAGTCTTGGAACTTGTGATAAAGTTGAGCCTTACATATATTAAATTTTAAACCAGAACTGTATTTAGCTTTGTTTTAGCTTTGAAGAAGTTATCTATCTTTCACCATGGAAAGAGAAGCTGTACTATCAAAATAGCTCCTCCCCGCTCTCTGCTAAGTGAAAATGTGAAATCTCCCAGCTGACTACTTTCACCTGCATAAGTAATAATTTCCTTCTCTCCTTCTCTCTTCTCTCCTTTCTGTGTAGGGGGACAGAAGCCATATATATATATATATATATGCACATACAGTTTAGCTGTGTTTGGTAGTCAGAAAGACTAGTGACTAATTTCAGAGGAGATAAAATAAGAAGCTCTCATATCTTAAAAAAAAAAAGTCAAATGTGAGTCTTGATTGTCCTAGGAAACCCCCATTTTCAGGTCGGTGGTTTCTAATGATCTTCTCATCTTCCACGAAGCTTGGTCCAAAGGAGCCACATCGCTGAGGACTTTTGCTCTTCCCTCTTTGGAGACAGAAGCAAACAAAGAGACTATGATTTCCTTTTTTCTTGAGGGATCACCTTTTACAATATTTGCTCTAAATACATACTCCAAATCATAAACCTGAAACCAGGCACAGTGGCTCATGCCTGTAATCCCCACACTTTGGAAGGCTGAGGCGGGAGGATTCAGTGAGCTCAGGAGTTCAAGACTGTCCTGGGCAACACACGGAAACCCCGTCTCTACTAAAAATCAAAAAAATTAGCCACGTACAGTGGCATGCACCTGTAGTTCCAGCTACTAAGGAGGCTGAAGCAGGTGTATTGCTTGAGCCCCAGAAGTCGAGGATGCAGTGAGCTGTAATTGCACCACTGAACTCCAGCCTGGTCAACAGAGTGAGACACTGTCCCAAAAAAGAAAAATCATACACCTGGTCTAATTTTGATCAAAGGTTTTTTTGAGCCTTACTATAGGAATAGGCATTTCATTTGTTATATAACATATCATCGAAGATCTTTCCTTGCCAATCTGTCCAGGAGGACAATCTGTGTAGTCATTTGCCCTACGGCGACACAGGCAGCCTGAAACGTGCCTGGTGGAAATTCCTACACTACAGAATGGCATTTTGCTGCTTGCTGAAAATAACTTGTAAAGAAGAGCTGGTTCCAGATGTTTGTGGGTGAAACACGTTGAAAGCCATCTCCGAAAGCCTGCAAAATGATTTGCCTGCGAAGTGGACCACTTCGTCTTTGGGTGAAAAGAGGAAATTATTATTTACCCCTAAGGCCTGGGAAGAGTTTTTATTTCAGCTTGTCTCATTTTTGGATGCTGGCAGATGGGAAAAGCCAACAAAATAAATTGGCCGAGGTTGTTGCAATAGGTCACAAAGCTGGGGACATCTGATGGGTGAATTAATGTTACTGTCAGTTGCTTCTCTCTCCCTGACCACTCCTGTCACTTGGAAAAACACGGTAAAGATAAATTAACCCAGGCAGTGCGGAGCTGGCCATGGCCAATTTATAGTCACGTGAGCTCAGGGCCTGCTGCTGGCTCACTGCCATTTCAGCCTCCTTAGTAAGATCTTTTTTTTTTTTTTTTGAGACAGAGTCTCGCTCTGTCACCGAGTCTGGAGTGCACTGGTGTGATCTCGGCTCACTGCAATGTTTGCCTCCCAGGTTCAGGCAATTCTCCCATCTCAGCCTTCTGAGTAGCCGGGACTACAGGTGTGTGCCACCATGCCAGGCTAATTTTTGTATTTTTGATAGAGATGGGGTTACACCATGTTGTCCAGGCTGGTCTTGAACTCCTGAGCTCAGGCCATCCGCCCACCTCGGCCTCCCAAAGTGTTGGGATTATAGGTGTGAGCCACCTCACCCAGACTAGTTCTTTTTTTTTTTTTTTTTCTTTAATGGAGTCTCGCTCTGTGGCCCAGACTGGAGTGCAATGGCGCGATCTCAGCTCACTGCAACCTCCGTCTCCCGGGTTCAAGTGATTCTCCTGCCTCAGCCTCCTGAGTAGCAGGGATTACAGGCACCCATCACCATGCCTGGCTAATTTTTGTATTTTTAGTAGAGACAGGGTTTCACCATGTTGGCCAGGCTGGTCTAGAACTCCTGACCTCAGGTGATCCACCTGTCTCCGCCTCCCAAACTGCTGGGATTACAGGCATGAGCCACCACACCTGGCCTCTTTTTTTTTTTTTTAGACAGGGTCGTGCTCTGTCACTTGGGCTAGAGTGTAGTGACACAGTATCAGCTCAGTGCAACCTCCACCTCCTGGGCTCAAGCAATCCTCCCACCTCAGCCTCCCAAGTAGATGGAACTACAGGCAAGCCCCACACGCCTGGCTAATTTTTGTATTTTTTGCACAGACAGAGTTTCGCCATGTTGTGTAGGCTGGTCTTGAACTCCTGGGCTCAAGCGATCTGCTCGCCTCAGCCTCCCAAAGTGCTGGGATTACAGGTGTGAGCCACCGTGTCTGGCCAGCAAGTTCTTTTGTCATGGCAAAATGAAACCAAGTTGAAAACTGAAAAACAAAGCAGGGGGGAAGTGTGGTCCTTGCTGGTGGATTGTTCATTGTCATTAGCAACCCACTTTTGGTCCAGATTGATATCTGAACAGTAAAAGTGTCTGGTTATTATTGAACGGGTTGCTTTGTGTGCTGGAAAATGTGAGTCAGACCCCGGAGGGGAAATTCAGCCCCACTGAGAAGTCAAGCATGGTGTCAAGCCAATGAGAAAAGGTCAGTAAATTTCTAGACTTTTCTTTCACTGTACTATATTCAGGAAACTGGAATGGGAAGTTAAAATTCCAGCCTAGGCATAATCGTCACTGATATTTAAGAGACAGAAAGAAAATTTCCCAACTCTTTGAAGGAAGCTTTGCAAACACAGCCTGATCTCTTTATGTGGAAATGGTCCAGGTAACAGTGTGGACATTTGGAGAAGGTGACGCTCTGTTTACTAAGAGGGCAGGGGGCCAGGTGTATTTTAGGACCCTCATCTATGTGATCTCAGACAAGTTGCTGAGCTTTGCTGAGCCTCAACTGCATTGGATGGTTTTAGCTCTTAAATCTTTTTTTTTTTTTTTTTTTTTTGAGATGGAGTCTCACTTTGTCATCAAGCTGGAGTGTAGTGGCGCAATCTTGGCTCACTGGAACCTCCGCTTCTGGCCTTTAAGCAATCCTCCTGCCTCAGACTCCTGAGTAGTTGGGACTATAGGCACATGCCACCGCATCTGGCTAATTTTTGTATTTTTAGTAGGGACAGGGTTTCGCCATTTTGGCCAGGCCAGTCTTGAACTCCTGACCTCAGGTGATCCACTCACCTTGGCCTCCCAAAGTGCTGGGATTACAGCCATGAGCCACCTCGCCCGGCCTAGGTCTTAAATCTAAGATATAAAACAATCTGATACTATGGCTCCATGTTCCTATTGGGTAAACCAGGACTCCCCAGAAAGCCACGGAATTACCTTTAATGACAGATTACAAACAAAATAATACTACAGTAACAACTTGTCATCATGTACCTTCTGTGTGTGCCAGGCTTTCCTCTCACAGCCACATGGCAAGGTAGGTATTGTGACCTTTTTACAAGCAAGAAGATTGAAGGTAAGGGGCTAATCCACCTGGGCTGTGATTTATTTATTTATTATTATTTTTTGGATACAGGTTCTCACTCCTGTCGCCCCAGGCTGGAATGCAGTGGCACAATCTCAGCTCACTGCAGCCTTGACTTCCTGGGCTCAGGCAATCCTCCCTCCTTAGCCTCCTGAGTAGCTGGGACTACAAGCACGCACCACCATGCCTGGCAAATTTTTTTTTTTTTTTGAAACGGGGTGTTGCTCTGTCACCCAGGCTGGAGTGCAATGGTGTGATCTTGGCTCACTGCAACCTCTGCCTCCCAGGTTCAAGCAATTCTCCTGCCTCAGCCTCCCGAGTAGTTGGGATTACAGGCGCACACCACCATGCCCAGCTAATTTTTGTATTTTTAGTAGAGACAGGGTTTCACCATTTTGGCCAGACTGGTCTCGAACTCCTGACCTCAGGTGATCCCCCCACCTCAGCCTCCCAAAGTGCTGGGATTACAGGTGTGAGCCACCACACCTGGCCTAATTTAAAAATTTTTTGTAGAGACAGGGTCTCATTGTGTTGCCCAGGCTGATCTCGAGTTCCTGGGCTCAAGTGATCCTCCCTACTAGGCCTCCCATAGGATTATAGGCTTGAGCCACCATGATAGGCCACGCTGTGATTTAAACACAGAGCTCTCTGGTGTGGTCCATCCATTCTACCAACCTGTCCTTTACTGCCCAGAGCCCTGTGGCACACAGGAAAATAACATTTCTTTCTTCTTTCTTTTTTTTTTTTTTGAGACAGAGTCTCCCTCTGTCGCCCACACTGGAGTGCAATGGCGGGATCTCAGCTCACTGCAACCTCCGCCTCCCGGATTCAAGCAATTCTACTGCCTCAGCCTCCTGAGTAGCTGGGAATACAGGTGCATGCCACCACGCCCGGCTAATTTTGGTATTTTTAGTAGAGACGGAGTTTCACCATGTTGATCAGGCTGGTCTCGAACTCCTGACCTCGTGATCTGCCCACCTCGGCCTCCCAAAGTGCTGGGATTACAGGCGTGAGCCACCACGCTCGGCCTAGGAAGATGACATTTCTAGGCCCTCCCAGCATCTGGGTGGAGTCACACACCTAGTGTTGCTAATGGAACATGGCCAGAGTTGAGGCCATTGGCAGGCCTGCCCACAGAAGGGCTGTGTGACAGCTCCTGCTGTCTCTTTCCTCAGTTTGTGTGACTGGAAGCCAAGGAGTCCAAGCTGGTGACACTGCACAGCAGAAGGAGCCTGTGTCCTTGAGTTTACCGCTCAGCGGAAAACCATCTTGGTTCAGGGAAAACCCATGAACCAAGAACATCCACGTCAGACATTTCACAGACGAGAAATAAACATTTACTCTGGTAAGTTCCTGAGATTTTGAGGTTGATTCTTTCAGCAATGATTGAGAATCTGGGCTCCAAATTCAGTTTAACTCATTTTTTTTCCTGTGGTCAGCTAAGAAATAGAGTTCATTTATGCCCTTTCAGAAAGAGCCAAATTGCCACATGGATTAGCATCTCATCTAGGGTTGCCAGACTTAGCAAATAAAAATACAAGACAGGCCAGGTGCAGTGGCTCACACCTGTAATCCCCACACTTTGGGAGGCTGAAGTGGGCAGATCACTTGAGGCCAGGGGTTCGAGACCAGTCTGGCCAACACAGTGAAACCCCCATTTCTACTAAAAAACACAAAAATTAGCCAGGCGTGGTGGTGCACGTCTGTAATCCCAGCTACTCAGGAGGCTGAGGCAGGAGAATTGCTTGAACTCAGGAGGTGGAGGATGCAGTGAGCTGAGATTGTGACACTGCACTCCAGCCTGGGTGACAGAACGAGAGCCTGTCTCAAAAAAACGAAAACAAACAACAACAACAAAAATATAAGCCACCTAGTTCAACATGAATTCAGATAAGCCACAAATACTTTTTTAGAATAAATAGGTTTTGTGCAATTATTTGGGACATTACTGATAACAAGAAATAACTCATTGCTTACCTGAAATTCAAACATAACCAGGGGTCTGGCATCTTACTTGGCCAGCCAAGTTTCATGCTATCACATCCACATCTTGACTCTGCTCAGAAAGAGCTGCCCAACTTCTCCACCAATCAACTTCCTTCCATTCCTCAAGTCTTGGCCCTCATTCCACTTTCTCCAGGAAGACTTCCCTTCCAGCCTCGCCTTTCTAGCTCTCTGGTAGTCCTTATCACACTGCACTTGTCTTATGGTGATGCCAGTCTTGCTCTTCTTGTATTATTATTGTTGTTATTAATATTAGAGATAGAGCCTTGTTCTGTCTTCCAGGCTGGAATGCAGTGGTACAATCACAGCTCACTGCAGCCTCGACCTGGGTTCAAGCGATCCCCCCCGCTTCAGTCTCCTGAAGCTGGGACCACAGGTGTGCACCACCATGCCTGGCTGATTTTTTATTTCTTGTAGAGACAGAGTCTCCCTATGTTGCCCAGGCTGGTCTCAAACTCCTGGGTTCAAATAATCTTCTTTGAGCCTCAGCCTCCCAAATTGCTGGGATTACAGGTGTGAGCCATTGTGCCCAGCCCTGGCTCTTCTTGTTTTTGTTTGTTTGTTTTTTGAGATGGAGTTTTGCTCTTGTCACTGGAGTGCAATGGTGTGATATCGGCTCACTGCAACCTCCGCCCCCTGGGTTCAAGCAATTCTCCTGCCTTAGCCTCCCAAGTAGCTGGGATTACAGGCGCCCGTCACCACGCTCGGCTAATTTTTTTGTACTTTTAGTAGAGATGAGGTTTTGCCATGTTGGCCAGGCAGGTCTCAAACTCCTGACCTCAGGTGATCCACCTGCCTCGGCCTCCCAAAGTGCTGGGTGTGAGCCACCACACCCGGCCCTGGCTCTTCTTTCAGAGGTTGATTCTTGAAGGTGAAGACAGACTCTTTGTTCGCTGCTCCTCCCCTGTATCATTCATTCATTCAGCAAACATCCACAGAGGATCTCCTCCACGCCTGGCACACAGCAGGCATGGACACTGCTCTTGGGGACCTTCCAGTTTTGTAGGAAAGGATGCTATTCAAAAACCATATGAACGAATATTGTCAATACCTGGAAGGAATGTTACAGAGTGCTGAGAGAATTTGTCAGGAAGGGCCTGCTTTTATTTGTTGATATTTATTTACTTATGGTAGACATGGGGTCTTGCTATGTTGCCCAGAATGGTCTTGAACTCCTGGGTTCAAACGATCTTCCCACCTCGACCTCCCAAAGTGCCTGGCCTGATTTTTAGTTTTAATCCTTTATTTTTATTTTTATTTTTTTAGAGACAGGGTCTCATTCTGCTGCCCAGGCTGGAGTGAAATGGTGCAATCATAGCTCACTGCAGTGTCGAATTCCTGGGCTGGAGCAATCTTCCCATCTGAGTCTCGAGTAGCTGGAATTACAAACATGTGCCACTACGCATAGCTTTATTTACTGATTTTCTTTTTTATTTACTGATTTTCTTTTCTTTTTTCTTTTTCGAGACAGAGTCTTGCTCTGTCACCCAGGCTGGAGTGCAGTGGCGCGATCGCAGCTCACGGCAAACTCTGCCTCCCAGGTTCAAGCAATTCTGCCTCAGCCTCCTGAGTAGCTGGGATTACAGGCATCTACCACCACAGCCGGCTAATTTTTGTATCCTTTTTTTTTTTTTTTGGAGATGGAGTCTTGCTCTGTCACCCAGGCTGGAGTGCAGTGGCACAATCTCGGCTCACTGCAAGCTCCGCCTCCCGGGTTCATGCCATTCTCTCGCCTCAGCCTCCGGAGCAGCTGGGACTAAGGGCGCCCGCCACCACGCCCGGCTAATTTTTTTGTTCGTTTGTTTTTTAGCAGAGACGGGGTTTCACCGTGTTGGCCAGGATGGTCTCAAACTCCTGACCTCGTGATCCGCCCACCTTGGCCTCCCACAGTGCTGGGATTACAGGCGTGAGCCACCACACCTGGCCTATTTATTGATTTTTTACAACCACTTTATTGAAGTATGAGTGACATACAAATATGCGCATATTTAGTGTATACAGCTTGATGAGTTTGGGGATAAGTATGCACCCGTGAAACCATCACCAAAATCTATGTTAGAAACATACCCATGACCTCCAAAGGATTTCTCCTGCCATCTTTATTATTATTATTATTATTTTATTTATTTATTTATTTTTTTGAGACGGAGTCTTGGTCTGTCGCCCAGGCTGGAGTGCAGTGGTGCCATCTCGGCTCACTGCAAGCTCCTCCTCCCGGGTTCACATCATTCTCCTGCCTCAGCCTCCCGAGTAGCTGGGACTACAGCCACCCGCCAACATGCCCAGCTAATTTTTTTGTATTTTTAGTAGAGACAGGGTTTCACTGTGTTAGCCAGGATGGTCTTGATCTGCTGACCTCGTGATCCGCCTGCCTCGGCCTCCAAAAGTGCTGGGATTACAGGCGTGAGCCACCGCGCCCGACGTATTTTTTATTATTATTGTGATAAAAATACTGCAATGATCAGAATGTTTGTGTTCACAGGTGGAACAATTCATAGGTGGAAACCCTAACTCCCAAGGTGACGGTATTAAGAGGTGGAGCCTTTGGGAGGTGATGAGGTCATGAGAGTGAGGCCCCCATGAATGGGATTCGTGCTTTTTTTTTTTTTTTTTTTTTTTTTTTGAGACAAAGTCTTGCTGTGTCGCCCAGGCTGGAGTGCAATGGTGCAATCTCAGCTCACTGCAACCTCTGCCTCCCGGGTTCAAGCGATTCTCCTGCCTTAGCCTTCCGAGTAGCTGGGACTACAGGCGTGCATCACCGTGCCCAGCTAATTTTTGTATTTTTAGTAGAGATGGAGTTTCACTATATTGGCCAGACTGGTCTCAAACTCTTGACCTCATGATCCGCCCGCCTCGGCCTCCCAAAGTGCTGAGATTACGGGCGTGAGCCCCTGTGCCCTGCCAGGTTTGCTGTTTTTAGATGCCACATATGAGTGAGATCTTACAGTGTTTGTCTCTCTGAGCCTGGCTTGTCTCACCCTAACATCACGTCCTGCAGCTTCATCCACGTTGGCACAAGTGACGTGACAGGATTTCAGGAAGGATTTTTAGAGTGGAATCAGCGATGGTTCCTGTCCAGGGAGAGACATTCAGGCTGTGGCAAGAAGGGCGAATAGGAATCAAACTCATGACAAGTTGAGAAAAGAAATTTCCAGGAAGACACTGAGGTGGAAGGAAATCGGCTTGGTCCGTTTTGTTTGAGGAACTGAAAGGAGGCCTGGGGCGTGAAGAGAGGGTGAGTGAGAGGCGTCTGCGGTGACAGACTGGGCTGTCCCTCTGGCCTCCTTGGCAGTTCTACCCTGAGAAGTAAGAGGCAGGGAGGGGCACAAGCTAATCTGTTTCTAGCTTTCCCAGGCTGCTCTGTGAGAGTCACAGAAAGGGAAGTACAAAAGTAGAAGTAGGCTGGGCACGGTGGCTCACGCCTGTAATCCCAGCACTTTGGGAGGCTGAAGCGGGCGGATCACTTTAGGTCAGGAGTTAAAGACCAGCCTGGCCAACATTGTGACCCCCACCTCTACTAAAAAAAAAAACAAAAATTAGCTGGGCGTGGTGGCAGGTGCTTGTAGTCCCAGCTACTCAGGAGGCTGAGGCAGAAGAGTCGCTTAAACTCAGGAGGTGGAGGTTGCAGTGAGCCGAAATCACACCCCCTACACTCCAGCCTGGTGACAAAGTGAGACTCTGTCTCAAAAACAAAAACAAAAACAAAAGAAAACAAAAAAGTAGGGCCGGGTGTTGTGGCTCACGCCTGTACTCCCAGCACTTTGGGAGGCCGAGGAGGGCAGATTACCTGAGGTCGGGAGTTGGAGACCAGTCTGACCAACATGAAGAAACCACATCTCTACTAAAAACACAAAATTAGCCGGGTGTGGTGGCACATGCCTGGAATCCCAGCTACTCGGGAGGCTGAGGCAGGAGAATCGCTTGAACCCAGGAGGCGGAGGTTGCGGTGAGCTGAGATCACGCCGTTGTACTCCAGCCTGGGTAACAAGAGCAAAACTCTGTCTCAAAAAAAAAAAAAAAAAAAAAAAGTGGAAGTAGCAAGGCCAGTGATGAGGCCATCCCAGTAACTCAGCCAAGGGAAACATGGCAGAGCCCATGTCTGAAAGGTGCTCCCGCATTTCCACTCCCACCTGTTCTTCCAGAACTTTACCACTCCCATCAAGAGGTGGAGTCTACTTCCCTCACCTTGAACCCGGGCGAGACTTTGACTGCCTTGACAAATGGATGTGGCAAAGCGACGTTGCATGACTTTTTTTTTTTTTTTTGAGATGAGTTTCACGCAGTCTCAGCTCACTGCAACCTCTGCCTCTGGGTTCAAGTGATTCTCCTGCCTCAGCCTCCCGAGGAGCTAGGATTACAGGCAGGAAAACAACAGACCACACCATGGTTCCACTGGGGCTTGAACCCAGGACCTTCTGCGTGTAAAGCAGATGTGATAACCACTACACTATGGAACCACAGGCTAGCTGAGTTTCAAAGCTAGACTATGAGGCCATGAGGCTGGGCACAGTGGCTCACACATGTAATCCGAGCACTTTGGGAGGCCAAGGTGGGTAGATCACCTGAGGTCAGGAGTTCGAGACCAGCCTGGGCAACATGGCAAAACTCCGTCTCTACTAAAAATACAAAAAAAATTAGCCAAGCGTGGTGGCATGTGTCTGTAGTTCCAGCTACTTGGAAGGTTGAGGCAGGAGAATTGCTTGAACCAGGGAGGCAGAGGTTGCAGTGAGCTGAGGTCGTGCCACTGCACTCTAGCCCGGGCAACAGAGCGAGACCCTGTCTCAAAAAAATAAATAAATAAATAAATACATAAATAAAGTTAGGCTATGACAGGCAATATGGCCTTGCCTGGCGCTCCCTCCCTCTCTCTCAGCTCACACCAGCCCACATGGAGAGACCGAGGGAGAGGCCCATGTGAGGAGGAACTGAGGTCGTCAGCCAGCAGCATCTGCCAGACATGGGTGATTTCAGCCTTCAAATCTTCCAGCTGCAATCCCCAGTCCCTGGGAGCAGAGACAAGCCATCGCTGCTGGACCCTGTCTGAATTCCTATACATAGAATCCATGAGCATAACAAAGGGCTGCTTTACACGGCTAGATTTGGGGGTAATTTGCTGTGCAGCCACAGTACCTGGAACAAGAGGACAATGGCTGGAGTTGCCTAGTGGCTGTCGGTGGGCTTGTTGAAAGTGGACCTATTTGAGATGCTGAATAGAAATTGAATTAACAAGATGTAGTCATGAAAGGGACAGAAAATGTCTTAATTATAAAAAAATTATAAAGACCCAGCCAGGCGTGATGGCTCATGCCTGTAATGCACTTTGGGAGGCGGAAGCGGGCGGATCACCTGAGGTAGGGAGTTTGAGATCAGCCTGACCAACATGGTGAAACCCCGTCTCTACTGAAAATACAAAATCAGCTGTGCGTGGTGGCGGGCACCTGTAATCCCAGCTACTCAGGAGGCTGAGGCACGAGAATTGCTTGAACCCAGGAGGCAGAGGTTGCAGTGAGCCGAGATTGTGTCATTGCACTCCAACCTGGGCAACAAGAGTGAAACTCCGTCTCAAAAAAAAAAAAAATAAATAAACAAATATAAAGATACAAACCAGGCACGGTGGCTTACGCCTGTAATTCCAGCACTTTGGAAGCTGAGGTGGGTGGATTGCTTGAAGCCAGGAGTTTGAGACCAGCCTGTCCAACATGGTGAAACCCCGTCTCTACTAAAAATACAAAAATTAGCCAGGTGTGGTGGCACACACCTGAGTGTGTGTGTACCAGCTTCTCAGGAGGCGGAGGCATGAGAATGGCTTGAACCCAGGAGGCGGAGGTTGCAGTGAACCGAGGTCATGCCACTGCACTTCCATCCCCAGGGAGGGAAGGAGCAAAAGAAAACTAGGAAAAGGGGCTAAAAATGGTGCTTGTCTCACTGCTTTCTTCAGTTGAGCTCTTCTTGGTCTTGTGCTGGTAACTTGATGATTTTCATTCGCCTTTGACGACTCAGCCCATTAAGCCAAAGAGGCTCACCTGGTGCTACTCAGCCTGGGTGACAGAGGGAGACTATGTCTCAAAAAAAACAAAAAACAAAAAATACAAATAAAGATATGAAGGAAGGCCCAGTTAGAATACATTTTTGAAAATACTTCTTTACATTTTTAATGACGCATGCATTTCATATTGAGAGCTTCATTCTTTCGGTTTAATAATTTGATCCTTGTTAAAATGCAGACAATTGGCTGGGCATGGTGGCTCATATCTTTGGGAGGCTGAGGTGAGCAGATCACTTGAGCCCAGGAGTTTGAGACCAGCCTGGGCAACATGGTGAAACCCTGTCTCTACTAAAAAAAATACAAAAAAATAATTAGCTAGGTGTGGTGGTGCCTGCCTGTGGTCCCAGCTACTTGGGAGCCTGAGGTAGGAAGATCGCTTGAACTCAGGAGTCAGAGGCTGCAGTAAGCCGGGATCACACCCCTGCACTCCAGCCTGACAGTGAAATCCTGTCTCAAAAAAAAAAAAATGCAGACAACTCAAGGATTGATAAAATTTGAAATTTTTTCATTAACACCTTAGCATGAATGAAGACTGAAACCTAGTTTTCTTTTTGATAAAGACAATGGAGGCGTCCAAGGGCTAAGGACATACATCCCCAGGGAGGGAAAGAGAAAGAGAAAAAGTAGGAAAAGGGGCTAAAAATGGTGTTTGTCTCACTGCTTTCTTCAGTTGAGCTCTTCTTGGTCTTGTGCTGCTAACTTGATGATTTTCATTCGCCTTTGACGACTCAGCCCATTAAGCCAAAGAGGCTCACCTGGTGCGACTGTTACTCACAATGGCTCACACGTGTTGGGTGCACGTGCTGGGCCAAGCATCATGCACGCTGTAAGGTATATAGATGTGATTTGGTCAAGGTAGAGACCGAGGCGGATATACAGGCCTGCACGGCTCAGTGAGTTTGGTGCGCAGGCGCACACCTCCGCTTGTTACATAACCTGTTTGTGTAAGTTCATACTTGGCTCTGAGCCACTATTGTCTGTAAAAGGTATAACTGCCCTGCTGACGCCGTACAGGTGCTTTTGAGGCTCAGCTTGGCTCGACATGGCTTGATGTGGTGGGTGCGCTGGCGCCCAGAGAAAGGGAGACAGCCAAAGCTGTCCATCTTGTAGACAGACAGGAGGGAGCCAGGACACAGCTCTGCTTGCTTGTGCCAGAGAAAGAAAGAGTTAAGCTGCTGACCCTGAAGGCAAGGGAGAGCCGGGGGTCACAGGAGCCACAGAGCCAAAGCAAATAGCAGAGATAAAGGTGGACAGGGTGAGAGAGCTAATGTGAGTAAGCTGCTAATAAAAAGCCATTGATGAGAACTGCTGCTGAATAAAACCATATTCACCTGCCTAGGCCCCCTGCACCAAAGCGTTTCTGCTCATCCACCCCACTCACCTTGGACTTCAGCATGGGCTGGACCTGGACCGGGGTCTGACACACACCAACTCGGTTAATCCTCACAGTAAACCTGGGAAGGAGGTGCCATTTTGCCCATCGTTTACCAGGACACTGAGAGGCAGGGAGTGTGACCTGCATGAGGTCACTTGGAGCATCACTGTAGGGGACTAACACCCTACACGGCTATGCGGCCTTGTTCTCTGCTCCGAATGCCATCTTCACAGATTGTTCTCATGTCCCTTACAACTGCGTATCTATAAATAAGTGGATTTGCTCTCTGGTCTCTAAGACTTTAAAAGCTAAGGTTAAGGAGTGTGTGTGTTAGGGGAAGGGTGGGGACAGCAGCAAAGACTTGCACAGATAATTGTCCCCAAATAGTCTCAATGAAGGCACCTCTGATAAGGGCATATGGCAAAGCCCTGAACCATCCCTAAATTTCAATTTTCTTCTAGCAGTCATATGACTGATCTATGGTCAGGAGGATGTGAACAGAAATGATCTACATGCCTTCTGAAAAAAAGGGGGCATGCATAGCCTCCCTTTCATTCTTTTTTCTTTTATATATTTTTTTTATTTTATTTTTTTCGAGACAGGGTCTCACTCTGTCTCCCAGGCTGGAGTGCAGAGATGCAATCTCAGCTCACTGTAATCTCTGCCTCCCGGGTTCAGGCGATTCTCCTGCCTCAACCTCCCAAGTAGCTGGGAGTACAGGTGTGTGCCACCATGCCCAGCTAATTTTTGTTTGTTTGTTTTGAGATGGAGTTTCGCTCTTGTTGCCCAGGCTGGAGTGCAATGGCACGATCTCGGCTCACTGCAACCTCCGCCTCCCAGGTTCAGGAGATTCTCCTGCCTCAGCCTCCCGAGTAGCTGGGACTACAGGCATGTGCCACCATGCCCGGCTAATTTTGTATTTTTAGTAGAGATGGGGTTTTTCCATGTTGGTCAGGCTGCTCTCCAAGTCCCGACCTCAGCTGATCCACCCATCTCACCCTCCCAGAGTGCTGGGATTACAGGCAGGAGCCACGGTGCCCAGCCTAATTTTTGTATTTTTAGTAGAGGCAGGGTTTCACCATGTTGGCCAGGCTGGTCTCGAACTTCTGGCCTCAAGTGATCCACCTGCCTCAGCCTCCCAGAGTGCTGGGATTACAGGTGTGAGCCACTGCGCCTGGCCCTCCCCTTCATTCCTGTTCCCCTCCACAGGTTGGGGAGCAATCTTGGACCACATGGAAAAGGGCAACCTACTCAGGACAGCAGAACAACCAGCAGAAGGAACCGGGGGGCTGACACCTGGGGCTGGTTGAGCTCATCTGTACTTGGCTATGCCCAGACTCTTATGCGGGAAAGAAAATAAACTTTGGTTTAGTCCACTGTTATTTTTTGGTCTTTATTTAGAGACAGGGTCTCACTCAGTCACCTAGGCTGGAGTGCAGTGGTGTGATCATAGCTCACTGCAGCTGTGAACTCCTGGGCTCAAGGCATCCTCCAGCCTCAGCCTCCCAAAGTGCTGGGATTACAGGTGTGAGCCACCCCACCTCCATCTAATATTAAATCACAAAATGGAATTATCTAAGTCTGTATCAGCTGGAAGAGAGGAAAGGATGTGGTAGACCCAAGGCTCTGTGTTCAAGGGACAGGACGAGCCACAAGCTGGATTTTGTTCCTACGTCTTTTGCGTTCATTTACCTTTTAGCTAATCGTGGATTTTCAGCAACACTGGGAAAAATAAAGACCATGCATGTTGTAGGCTGGCACAGGTGGAAGCTCTAGAACTCTGAGAGCTGCTTTAAAGGTACCACATACTGTAATCTAAATAGAAACACCCTATCATATCCAAGGAATCTGTGCCATCCCACTCCCAGCATTGTAGTGAGTGCCTGTGTATGCCTGTATCTACTCACAAGAGCTCTTTTTTTTTAAAGGAGCTATAAAGGAGATTATTTCTGCTGTGCTGTAGTCTGTTTTTTTTTTTACTTGTAAATGTATAACCCAAATTTTGTCATTATTTGAAATTATGTGTAGAGCTAATTTACCCAATATAAAAATGACTCTTACAAATCAACAAGACAAAACAATGGTCAAAAGATGAAGCAAGAACTGGTTTCATTAATGGCCCCAATCAATGGCCTCTGTGTCCAGTCTGTGGGTTCTGCCCCCTACACTAATTCTGGGCATGACCATGCCTTGCTTTGGCCAATGGGATGGAAGCATCTACACAAACAGAGCGGAGACTGGAAAGCACATTTAAGTCTCTTTTCTCTCTTGAATCTCTGCCACTGTCATGAAAAATAAGCCTGGGCTAGCCGAATGGAGAGACCATGGGGAGCAGAGCCAGCTTGATCCACCCAAGGCCATCCTATACCAGCTCAGCAACTCACTGGCTGACGGGACGCAGGAGTGAGCCCAGTTGCGAGCAGCAAAGCCACCCAGATGCCCTACAGACTCCTGTTTCAACCCAGTGAGCTTTGGGGTGGTCTGTCATTTAGTAACAGCTAACTGATACAGGTAAAAATAGGAAAAAGGGCTATAATGGCCAAAAAAACAAATCTAAAGATCTTCAATCTGATTGAGAAATGCCAAGGCCGGGTGTGGTGGCTTATGCCTGTAATCCCAACACTTTTGGAGGCCAAGGTGAAAGGACTGCTTAAGGCCAGGAGTTCGAGACCAGCCTGGCCAACACAGTGAGACCCCCCTATAAAAGTGGAATCTCTACATAAATTTTAAAAATTAGCTGGGCGAGCTGGTGCGTGCTTGTGGTCCCAGCTGCTCAGGAGGCTGAGAAGGGAGGATTGCTTGAGCCTAGGAGGTCGAGGTTGCTTGAGCCTAGGAGGTCAAGGCTGCAGTGAGCTATGGTCACACCACTGCACTCCAGTCTGGGCAACAGAACAGGACCCTGTCTTTAAAAAAAAAAAAAAAAAGAAATGCAAAATTAAAATCATGAGATAGTACATCATGTTAGTGGCCATTAAAAGTGTGATACCGTGGCCAGGCGCAGTGGCTCACGCCTGTAATCCCAGCACTTTGGGAGGCCGAGGCTGGTGGATCACCTGAGGTCAGGAGTTTGAGACCAGCCTGGCCAACATGGTGAAACCCCATCTCTACTAAAATACAAAAATTAGCTGGAAGTGGTGGTGTGCGCCTATAATCCTAGCTACTTGGGAGGCTGAGGCAGGAGAATCGCTTGAACCCAGGTGATGGAGGTTGCAGTGAGCTGAGATTGTGCCACTGCACTCCAGCCTGGGCGAGAGTGAGACGCCGTCTCAAAAAAAAAAAAAAAGTGCGATACCACACAGCTTTGGTGATGGGTATGCCTGGGAAGGAATCTTGGCAAAAGCGATGTCTGTGGTGCTCAAGACCCATCCCAGCCTCCTGGGCATGTGAGCCCCACACTGCAGACACAGGGAAGTTACCAGCTACATGCCCCAGGCTCCCCTAGGTCCAGATTTTGAGATGTGAGTTGGATTCTGCTAATTGCTTGAGTTTCGGAAAGCAGAAGCGAAAGCCGTATTTCTGCTTCCACTGGCAAAGGCTGCAAGTGATTTTCTGTGGAGTGTTTTCTGATCATTTGGCCTCTCGACTGTAGCAGATGAAGACAGCAAGCTTCTGGAGTTGGAAGCGAAGGCAGCAGCTTCCTATACTGGCAAAGATTTTCCTGATTGAAAAGGCACTTCTTTTTGAGGCCTAGGTCTGAAGTACAGCCCTTGATATCGTCCCTGAAAGTTCAACGAGATTTGTTCTCGAGCCTTCCTGACAATTCTGCATACCATCAGGACCCCGTAACAAATCTTCTGCATAAGCTGGCTCCAATGAACGCTAGTCTCTGCTAACTGAACTGTAGCTGATACAGTTGGCAACCTAAAAAAATGGACAGATCCTTTGATCCGCTTCTAGGAATTTATCTTCCAGTCATTCCCATAAGGACACAAAGATGTGTCCGGCACTGCTGTTTATAATAACTTAAACAACCCCAGAATGTCCTAAAATGTCCAGAAATAGGGAACAGCTTAGACAAATTGTGGCACATCTGAAAGATGGAATGTCAGAAAGAATGCAACATTATGCAAAGTTAAAAAGAATGAGGTAGATCTTTAAGAACTAATGAGAAAATGAAAATAACAAAACAAAAAGAACTAATGAGAAACAATGCACTCAGTTTAAAGTTGCAAGAGTGTTATATGATCCTATTTGGAATAATCTTTATTTGTACTGTCTGAATTATTTTTCCCCAGAAGCAAATATTTTAGAATATAAACTCATTAAAAATGAAATAAAGCGCATGAGTGTTACATCATATATAACCTTATTCAAATCCATGGGTAATTCCTTGAAGGCATACCATGTGCAGGAGCTGTGTGCAGCCTTCTGGGGTTTGTAAGGTGCGTAAGATACAGTAACTGACCCAGGCGGGGTGCGGTGGCTCACGCCTGTAATCCCAGCACTTTGGGAGGCTGAGACGGTTGGATCACCTGAGGTCAGGAGTTTGAGACCAGCCTGGCCAACATGATGAAACCCTGTCTCTACTAAAAATACAAAAATTAGCCGCGCACGGTGGTGGGAGCCTGTAATCCCAGCTACTTGGGAGGCTGAGGCAGAAAAATCACTTGAACCCAGGGGGCGGAGGTTGCAGTGAGCCGAGATCGTACCACTGCACTCCAGCCTGGGCGGCAGAGTGACTCTGACTCATAAAAAGAAATAGTAACTGACCTCCAGGGATGCATGACTCAGTGGCCTTGACTACCACTTATATAAATAGTTCTAACATAAGGCGAACCATGGGATAATTGCTACAAAGTGCAAAGCAGGAACAGGGGCGGAGAAATTAATTCTTGTGAACCTGGAAGACATCTGACGACTCTGCTGGGTGTGGATGAAGAGATTATGCCAAGAGCTAATTTTTATTAAATGCTTTTTCTATTCCTGGGTTCTTTGAGAATCATTGACATTTATTATTTACTACACATCAGACACGGTGTTAAGTGGCTTAGATGAAATGTCTTTTTTTTTTTTGGTTATCAGATAACCCTTTGTGAAAATATTTTCCTTTGCATTCTTTAACTAGCTGGGCATTCCACAGCTTCACTGTTGGTATCATCTGTGATACTATCAACATGGCAGCTCACAGACTGGGCAGGCCCCAGGAATTCTTTTTTTTTTTTTTTTTTTTTGGAGACGGAGTCTTGCTCTGTTGCCCAGGCTGGAGTGCAGTGGCGCATATTCGGCTCACTGCAAGCTCTGCCTCCAGGGTTCACAGCATTCTCCTGCCTCAGCCTCCTGAGTAGCTGGGACTACAGGCGCCCACCACCATGCCTGGCTAATTTTTTTGTATTTTTAGTAAGAGACGGGGTTTCACCACGTTAGCCAGGATGGTCTCGATCTCCTGACCTCATGATCCTCCCGCCTCGGCCTCCCAAAGTGCTGGGATTACAGGCATGAGCCACCGCAACCGGCCCCCAGGAATTCTTTAATGGTTCCAGAGAGTTCTCTGGCTAAAGACTGCTGCTGCATCTGTTAGGCAATGTTGACAATCTCATCAGAAGTGGTGCTACCACTGTGTTTCATGTTTTTGTGTTTCTTTCTTTCTGTCGGTGGTTCCTGAGGGTTGTGACGATCAGGGCAGAGGCAGAAGGCACCACCTCAATCTGGGCCTGTCTGCTGTGGCTGGTCAGTTTCACTATCATCCTCAGACTCTTCCAGTCAATGGTTGGTGATGTCATCAGCAACCATTTTTGGAGACAGACCCAGGGAGCTGACCTTGGGGGCCAGTGCAGATGTGGCACTGACTTCACCACTGGTACACCTCAGATATACAACTTTGATCTCGCTGGGGTCAAACGTAGGTGGCTGCGGTTGGTTGAACTCAGGTTCAGGATGACTGAAGCAAGTTGCACTTGGCTTTCTCTGAGCCGAAAAACGAAAGGTGCTCAGGCTCCCAGCAACTCTGTGAAGAAAGAGTTATTATCATCTCAGTTTACAGATGAAACAGAAGCTCAGAGAGGGCAAGCAGCTAGCACAAGGTCCCACAGCTGGACTCAGGGCTGCTGGCTACAGGGCCTGGCTCTACATGCTGCACAGTCAGAGAGGGAGAGTCCCATGCGCAGTTGGAAGGGAGAAGGGAAGGGGAGGCTGGCGCTAGATAGTAACAAGCTGTGTGTTTTGGGCATTTCCCCTGTACCAGACACTGTGCTAAATGACCCTTCTGCTCTGTTTGCCTGGAAAAGTCCCCATCTTAGTGAATTCTGACTTTCCACCTACTGTCCCGGAGCAGCTGACTGTGGTGGAGAAAACTGCAGGACAGGGACCCTCAGCTGCTGCTATACAGCCAGTGATCCTGCCACGTCCCTGACTCCATGGGCTTTCAACACGAGGCCTCCCCAACGCAGTGTCCACACCAGCATTACTGTGGAACTTGGGAGACATGCAGATCCCACAGGAGAGGGAAGGGGGAGCTGCTCTCAATTCAGATCAAGTTTCCCCTGTGCCAGAAGAATCAGTCCTCCAGATGGGTGGGCAGCACTGGGCCTGAGGTGAATGTTACTGTGCTGTACGCTCACAAAGTTAGAGGGCAGAGCTCATATTAAAGGTTCATACTGAGAGGTGAAGCCAGCTGGACTTCCTGGGTCAAATGGGGACTTGGAGAACTTTTCTGTGTAGCTAAAGGATTGTAAATGCACCAATCAGCACTCTGTAAAAATGTACCAATCAGCGCTCTGTGTCTAGCTAAAGGATTGTAAACATACCAATCAGCACGCTGTAAAGTGGACCAATCAGCACTCTGTAAAATGGACCAATCAGCAGGACGTGGGCGGGGACAAATAAGAGAATAAAAGCTGGCCACCCCCTGCCAGCAGCAGCAACCCACTTGGGTCCCCTTCCACACTGTGGAAGCTTTGTTCTTTTGTTCTTCATAATAAATCTTGCTGCTGCTCATTCTTTGGGTCCACACCAACTTTAAGAGCCATAACACTCACCGTGAGGGTCTGCGGCTTCATTCCTGAAGTCAGCAAGACCACAAACCCACTGGGAAGAACAAACAACTCTGGATGCACCATCTTTAAGACTGTAACACTCACTGCGAGGTCCACGGCTTCATTGTTGAAGTCAGTGAGACCAAGAACGCACCAGAAGGAATAAAGTCCGGATACATTTTGGCGACCCAGATGGGAAACACTCAGGCATCAACAGGCTCACCCTTGAAATGCATCTAAGCCATTGGGACCAGTTTGACCCACAAACCCTGAAAAAGAGGTGGCTCATTTTTTTCTGCACTACAGCCTGGCCCCAATATTCTCTCTCTGATGGGGAAAAATGGCCACCTGAGGGAAGTATAAATTACAATACTATCCTGCAGCTTGACCTTTTCTGTAAGGGAGAAGGCAAATGGAGTGAAATACCTTATGTCCAAGCTTTCTTTTAAGGAGAATCCACAACTATGCAAAGCTTACAACTTACATCCCACAGGAGGACTTCTCAGCTTACCCCCAGATCCTAGCCTCCCTATAGCCCCTTCCTATTAATGATAAGCCTCCTCTAACCTCCCCTGCCCAGAAGGAAACAAGCAAAGAAATCTCCAAGGGACCACAACCTCCCCCCCACCCCTGCTATCGGTTATGTCCTTTTCAAGCTGTATGGGGAGGGGAATTTGGCCCAACCCGGGTACATGTCCCCTTCTCCTTCTCTGATTTAAAGCAGATCAAGGTAGACCTGGGTAAGTTTTCAGATATATCCTGATAGGTATATAGATGTCCCACAGGGTCCAGGGCAAACCTTCAATCTCACCTGGAGAGATGTCATGCTATTGCTAGATCACACCCTGGCCTTTAATGAAAAGAATGCGGCTTTAGCTGCAGCCCGAGAGTTTGGAGATACCTGGAATCTTAGTCAAGTAAATGACAGAATGACAGCCGAAGAAAGGGACAAATTCCCTACTGGTCAGCAAGCCGTCCCCATTATGGATCTCCAGTGGGACCTCAACTCAGACCATGGGTACTGGAGTTGTAAACATCTGCTGATCTGTGTTCTAGAAGGACAAAGGAGAATTAGGAAAAAGCCTGTGAATTATTTGATGATGTCCACCATAACTCAGGGAAAGGAAGAAAATCCTTCTGCCTTCCTCGAGCGGCTACGGGAGGCCTTAAGAAAATATACTCCCCTGTCGCCCGACTCACTCGAGGGTCAATTGATCCTAAAAGGTAAGTTTATTATCCAATCAGCCACAGATATCAGGAGAGAGCTCCAAAAGCGAGCCCTGGGCCCTGAACAAAATCTGGAGGCATTATTAAACCTGGCAACCTCTGTGTTCTATGATAAGGACCAAGAGGAACAGGCTGAAAAGGAAACGTTAGATCAGAGAAAGGCTGCAGCCTTAGTCATGGCCCTCAGACAAACCAACCTTGGTGGTTCAGAGAGCACAGAAAATGGAGCAGGCCAATCACCTGGTAGGGCTTGTTACCAGTGTGGTTTGCAAGGACACCTTAAAAAAGACTGTCCAACAAGAAACAAGCTGCCCCCTCGCCCATGTCCACTATGCCGAGGCAATCACTGGAAGGTGCACTGCCCCAGAGGACAAAGGTTCTCTGGGCCAGAAGCCCCCAACCAGATGATCCAACAACAGGACCGAGGGTGCCCAGGGCAAGCGCCAGCTCATGTCATCACCCTCACTGAGCCCCAGGTATGTTTAACTATTGAGGGCCAGGAAATCGACTTCCTCCTGGACAGTGGCATGGCTTTCTCAGTGTTAATCTCCTGTCCCAGACAGCTGTCCTTGAGGTCTGTTACCATCTGAGGCTCAGTGTTAATCTCCTGTCCCAGACAGCTGTCCTCAAGGTCTGTTACCATCCAAGGAATCCTGGGACAGCCTATAACCAGGTATTTCTCCCACCTCCTCAGTTGTAATTCGGATGCTTTGCTCTTTTCACATGACTTTCTTGTTATGCCTGAAAGTTCCACACCCTTATTAGGGAGGGACATATTAGCCAAAGCTGGAGCTATTATCTACATGAATATGGGGAACGAGTTACTGATTTGTTGTCCCCTGCTTGAGGAGGGAATCAACCCTGAAGTCTGGGCATTGGAAGGAACAAACTCAAGCTCCAGCCTTAAGCCTTCCCACAGGACAAAACTTCTCTTTATACATCACAGAGAGAGCAGAAATAGCTCTTGGGGTCCTTACTCAGACTCATGGGACAACCCCACAACCAGTGGCATACCTAAGTAAGGAAACTGATATAGTAGCAAAAGGCTGGCCTCACTGTTTATGGGTAGTTGCAGCGGTGGCCGTCTCAGTGTTAGAGGCTATCAAAATAATACAAGGAAAGGATCTCACTGTCTGGACTACTCATGATGTAAATGGCATAATAGGTGCCAAAGGAAGTTATGGCTATCAGACAACCGCCTACCTAGATACCAGGCACTACTCCTTGAGGGACCAGTGCTTCAAATACATACGTGTGCGGCCCTCAACCCTGCCACTTTTCTCCCAGAGGATGGGGAACCGATCGAGCATGACTGCCAACAAGTTATAGTCCAGACTTATGCTGCCCGAGATGAATTCTTAGAAGTCCCCTTAGTTAATCCTGACCTTAATCTATATACTGATGAAAGTTCATTTGTGGTGGAGAATTGGATACGAAGGGCAGGTTATGCCATTGTTAGTGATGTAACAGTACTTGAAAGTAAGTCTCTTCCCCAGGGACCAGTGCCCAGTTAGCAGAACTAGTGGCACTTACCCGAGCCTTAGAACTGGGAAAGGAAAGGAGAATAAATGTGTATACAGATAGCAAGTATGCTTATCTAATCCTACATGCCCATGCTGCAATATGGAAAGAAAGGGGGTTCCTAACCTCTGGGGAACCACATTAAATATCACAAGGAAATCATGGAGTTATTGCACGCAGTGCAAAAACCCAAGGAGGTGGCAGTCTTACACCGCCGAAGCCATCAAAAAGGGGAAGGAGAGGGGAGAACAGCAGCGTAAGTGGCTGGCAGAGGCAGGGAAAGACCAGCAGAAAGGAAGGAGAGAAAGAGACAGACAGAGAGAAAGAGAGGAAGAGACAGAGACAAAGGAGTCAAAGAGGGAGACAGAGAGAGGAAGAGACAGAGAGGCTGAAAGTCAAAGAGAGAAGGAGAGAGAGGAAGAGACAGACAAAGAAGAGTCAGAGAGAGAGAAACAGAAAGTCAAAGAAAGAGAGGGAGAGACAAAGAGGGAGTCAGAAGGAGAGAGAAAGACAAAGAAGAAGTCAAAGAGAAAGAAAGAGAGATGGAAATAGTAAAGAAAAAACAGTGTACCCTATTCCTTTAAAAGCCAGGGTAAATTTAAAACCTATAATTGATAATTGAAGGTCTTCTCTGTTACCCTATAACACTCCAATACCACCTTGTTATCAGTGTAAGCAAGGGCGTAGCCTGAAAGTACTGAGGCCACTGACAACCCATAGCCTTCCTATCAAAAATCCTTAACCCAGCAGGTTTCCTAACAGGGGATCTAACTCTTAACTAATTACCATACAAAGGTCCAACCAGACCTAGGAGGAACTCCTTCAGGACAGGACCATAGATGGTTCCTCCCCGGAGATTAAGGAAAAAAGACACAATGGGTATTCAGTAAGTGATAAGGAAACTCTTGAAGAAACAGAGTTAGGAAAATTGCCTAATAATTGGTCTGCTCAAACCTGCGAGCTATTGGCACTCAGCCAAACTTTAAAGTACTTACAGAATCAGGAAGAAGCCATCTATACCATTTCTAAGATAATATGGACTGAACGAGGTTTTATTAATAGCAAAGAAAAATTAAAATCCCAAACTTATAAGGTTTTCAACAAAAGTAAAGTTTGCTAAAATTTAACAGTGTAACATGTATTATCCTAACCTCTAATCTTATGGAAATCAGACCCTATCAGCGCCCCTCAAAGCTCAAGTCCATCAGTGCAGAGCCATCCACTAATACCCCTACTTATAGGGTTAGGAATGGCCACTGCTACAGGAACCGGAATAGCCAGTTTATCTACTTCATTATCCTACTACCACACACTCTCAAAGGATTTCTCAGACAGCTTGCAAGAAATAACAAAATCTATCCAGTAAGGATAGTAACTACGATCCCAAATAGACTCTTTGGCAGCAGCGACTCTCCAAAACTGCCGAGGCTTGGACCTCCTCACTGCTGAGAAAGGAGGACTTTGCACCTTCTTAGGGGAAGAGTGTTGCTTTTACACTAACCAGGCAGGGATAGTACGAGATGCCGCCTGGCGTTTACAGGAAAAGGCTTCTGAAATCAGACAACGCCTTTCAAACTCTTATACCAACCTCTGGAGTTGGGTGACATGACTTCTCCCCTTTCTAGGTCCCGTGACATCCATCTTGCTATTACTCACCTTTGGGCCCTGTATTTTTAACCTCTTTGTCAAATTTGTTTCCTCTAGGATCGAGGCCATCAAGCTACAGATGGTCTTACAAATGGAACCCCAAATGAGCTCAACTAACTTCTACTGAGGACCCCTGGACCAAACTGCTGGCCCTTTGACTGGCCTAAAGAGTTCCCCTCTAGAGGACACTACAACTGCAGGGACCCTTCTTTGCCCCTATCCAGCAGGAAGTAGCTAGAATGGTCATCACCCAATTCCCAGTAGCAGTTGGGGTGTTCCGTTTAGAGGGTGGGTTGAGAGGTGAAGCCAGCTGGATTTCCTGGATCAAGTGGGGACTTGGAGAACTTTTCTGTCTAGCTAAAGGACTGTAAATGCACCAATCAGCACTCTATAAAAATGCACCAATCAGCGCTCTGTGTCTAGCTAAAGGATTGTAAACACACCAATCAGCACTCTGTAAAATGGACCAATCAGCAGGATGTGGGTGGGGACAAGTAAGGGAATAAAAGCTGGCCACCCCCAGCCAGCAGCGGCAACCCACTCGGGTCCCCTTCCACGCTGTGGAAGCTTTGTTCTTTTGCTCTTCATAACAAATCTTGCTGCTACTCACTCTTTGGGCCCACGCCACCCTTAAGAGCTGTAACATTCACTGCGAGGGTCTGCGGCTTCATTCCTTAAGTCAGCAAGACCACGAACCCACCAGGAGGAACAAACAACTCTGAATGTACCATCTTTAAGATCATAACACTCACCGCAAGGTCTGTGGCTTCATTCTTGAAGTCAGCAAGACCAAGAACCCACCAGAAGGAATAAATTCTGGACACAATACCACAAAAAGACAAAGAAAGCAAAGGTGCGGGAAGAAACTTTTGGACAAGTTTGTCCAACCTGTGGCCCAGGTGGCTTTGAATGTGGCCCAACACAAATTTGTAAATTTTCTTAAAACATTGAGATGTTTTGCGATTTTTTTTTTTAAAGCTCATCAGCTATCTTTAGTGATAGTGTAGTTTATGTGTGGCCCAAGACAATCATTCTTCTTCCAATGTGGCCCAAGGGAGACAAAAGATTAGATACCCTGCTTTTGGAGGCGAGGGATGTGTTTATTGCCTTGGCCGTGGTGATAGTTTCCTGGGAGCACAAATATGTCTGAATTAATCAAACTGTATATATCAAGGATGTGCAGCTTTGTGTACCAATTATACCTCAGTAAAACCATTACAAAAAGGAAAAGAACAAAGGAAATGCAAATTCCTAGAGTCCACCCTGGACCTACAGGCCCAGCTCTCTGGGGCTGCCCAGCCACCTGTGTCCAGCAAGGTGGGGGCCTGAGAAGCACTGCCCAGGCCTTTGCTCCCCTAATGGACTATTTCACCCTTCCCTAACTCGTCAGACCTCCCATACCACATCCTCACTCTCAGCTGATCACCTGCTTTCCTATTTCACTGAGAAGTCGAAGCACCTAGAAGACAGCTTGGTGTTTCCCAGCACCAAGGGCCCCAGCTCCTGCTCAGCACCCTTCTGCTCAGCTTTCCCTCTTGAGGCTGGGGAGGAACCGGCAGGGTGAACGCGAGTATTTCTCCTCATGCACAAGAAGCTACTCAATGCAGCAGCTATGGCCGCCCCTGGGAACTAGCTGGAAGCAGCTGGGGGTTGCTGGGGGGAGGGGTGGGTGGGTGGGAATCTGCATCTTTAATAGTTTCTAATTTCAACTTTTATTTTAAATACAGGGGGTACATGTGCAGGTTTGTTACCTGGGTATATCGCGTGATGCTGAGGTCTGCAGTAAGGATCGCATCACTTAGCATGGTATCCAGTAGGTAGTTTTTTTGACTGGCCCCCGCACCCCTGGACTCTCTCCCTCTGAGAATCTGCATTTTTCTTTTTTTCAGGATCCCTAGGTTTGAAGGAATCTGCATTTTAACAAGACTCTAGTTGCTTCGTACAGACATTAGACTCATTCCTCCTCCTCACTTTCTGTTGGACCATTCTCTCAGCAATCTGTAAACTGTAATCTGCTCCATTAAAAAAACCAAAACATCGATCCACATCCCTCTCCACTGCTTCATTTGCAAGCTCCAGGTTCTGCCTTCCCATTCTCTCTCAAACCTGCTCTGATCTTTGTCCAGCTCCTCACCGACCCCTTCACGGAGGCCCCCAGTGCACCTGCGCAGTGAGGTCAGCTTCGCAGGGGCCCCCAGTGCACCCGCACAGTGAGGTCAGCGTTGGCTCTTGGCCTCTCTTCCCTGCGACTCTGCCCGGGCACCAGCCAGTCCTCATTCCCTCCCTACTGCTTTTTTTTTTTTTTTTTGAAACAGGGTTTTGCTCTGTCACCCAGGCTGGAATACAAAAGTGCAATCATAGCTCACTGCAGCCTTGACCTCCTGGGCTCAAGGAATTCTCCCACCTCAGCTTCCTTGGTAGCTGGGACTACAGGCACACCACGCCCAGCTAATTTTTTGTATTTTTTGTAGAGGCAGGGTCTCACCATGTTGTCCAGGCTGGTCTCAAGCCATCTGCCCGCCTTGGCCTCCCAAAGTGTTGGGATTACAGGCGTGAGCCACGTGCCTGGCCATTGCTATTTTTAAAATGTTGTTTCAATTACCCCCAGGGTGTCACTCCCCTTCAGGATGCTTTGGGCCTTCCAGAGTAGGAAGAGTAACAAGAGACCTGGTTCACCTGTGGTGAAGCCAGGAGAGGTGTCATGTTGGTTGAAATGCCTGCAGAACCCTCCTGTTGCTGTGCTCAGGCCAGAAGCTGCACAGAGCATGGGCCGATAAATGCATCCACTCCCCGTGCTTTCCCAGGAGCGCCCAGGCCTGTCCTCAGTATCAAGTCAATCACATTTTCAGCATGGTAGGAGGAGGCAGGTTCTGCAAATGCTGCAGGGTGGGTTAATCACACAGGCCAATCAAGTCCCTGTCGTCACCACGATTGGCAGAGGCCAGCCCTCACTCCCATCTTGTTTCCTTCTCAGTAAAAATCATGTCACGCAGCCAGGCTTGGTGGTTCACGCCTGTAATCCCAGCACTTTGGGAGGCCAAGGTGGGCGGATCACCTGAGGTTGGGAGTTCGAGACCAGCCTGACCAACATGGAGAAACCCTGTCTCTACTAAAAATAGAAAAATTAGCCAGGTGTGGAGGCGCACGCCTGTAATCCCAGCTACTCAGGAGGCTGAGGCAGGAGAATCGCTTGAACCCGGGAGGCAGAGGTTGCTGTGAGCCGAGATTGAGCCATTGCACTCTAGCCTGGGCGACAGAGCTAGACTCCAACTCAAATAAATAAATAAATAAATAAATAAATAAATAAATAAATATCACACCACATCACTCTTTCCAACTGAAAGAGTGTAATTTAAAAAAGTGTAAAAACTGCCAAATGTAAGTCCACATTATTATCCATTCTTGTAGGAAACGTAATAAATGTGCTCCACAAATCCCCCACCCTCCTAGATACTGGCATTGAATGAGGCGCCCACGTGGGCTCTGCCCTGAACTTTTCTTCCTTCTTGCCCTTCTTCTTTCCTTCATGCCTCTGAGAAGGAAACTCTCCTTCTGCATCTGGAGCTGAGCTCCCCAAGGGCTTCTAAGCCTACTTCCCACACCTTCCGAAGAGCCTTATCCCACAGAGCCCTCACTCCCTCACCGCTGGCTTCCTCCCTCTGTGGGCTCCTTTCCCAGTCTGTAAACATGCCACATGCTCATCCCCTCACTCACCCTCTCGGAGAAAACTACTGTCCTGTCAAACTGCTTTCTTCTTTCCTTTCCTTCACCACACAATGCAGCCAAGGGTGCAGAGAGTTGCTCAGGCCCCTGTGCAGCCCATATCTCCCACCCACTCGCATGGCCCAACCTCCAGTGATCAAATCCAACAGCCGTTTCTGTCCCCAACCTGCCGCCCTTGCCTCCAGTTGAATTTGACAGAGATTACTCTGTCTACATCTTAAAAAAACGGAAACCAATGAAAGAGGCAACACACAAGACTCAATATGGACAGTAATACGATGGAGCATAAGACGGCCATGAAACACGACATTCACAAAGTTTTAAAGAGCATTAGGATTTGCTTGTAAAATAAAGTTAGAGGGCCAAGTGTGGTGGCTCACACCTGTAAACCTAGCACTTTGGGAGGCTGAGGCGGGCGCATCACTCGAGGTCAGGAGTTTGAGACCAGCCTGGCCAACATGGTGAAACCCTGTCTCTACTAAAAATACAAAAATTAGCCAGGCATGGTGGAGGGCGCCTGTAATCCCAGCTACTCAGGAGGCTGAGGTATGAGAATTGCTTGAACCCAGGAGGTGCAGGCTGCAGTGAGCCGAGATTACGCCACTATACCCCGGCCTGGGTGACACAGCAAGACTGTCTCCAAAATAAATAAATAAACAAAGTTAAGGGAAAAACTGCACGTGCAGCATCAGCTCAACCGTATGCATTTTATTTATTTTTTATGTAGGTATTTTTTTTGAGATGGAATCTCACTCTGTTGCCCAGGCTGGAGTGCAGTGGCGCGATCTCAGCTCACTGCAAGCTCCACCTCCTGGATTCACGCCATACTCCTGCCTCAGCCTCTCGAGTAGCTAGGACTACAGGCGCCCGCCACCACACCCGGCTAATTTTTTGTATTTTTAGTAGAGACGGGATTTCACCGTGTTAGCCAAGATGGTCTTAATTTCCTGACCTCGTGATCTGCCCCCCTTGGCCTCCCAAAGTGCTGGCATTACAGGCGTGAGCCACCGCGCCCGGCCCTGCATTTTATTTTTTATTTCTTGAGAGGGAGTCTCACTCTGTCACCCAGGCTGGAGTGCAGTGGTGTGATCTCGGCTCACTGCAGCCTCTGCCTCCTGGGTTCAAGCGATTCTATGCCTCAGCCTTCCAAGCAGCTGGGACTACAGGTGTGCCCCACCACACCTGGCTAATCTTTTTTTTTTTTTTTTTCTGAGACAGAGTCTTGCTCTGTCGCCCAGGCTGGAGTGCAGTGACATGATCTCAGCTCACTGCAACCTCCGCCTCCCGGGTTTAAGCAATTCTCCTGCCTCAGCCTCCCAAGCAGCTGGAACTACAGTCGCATGCCACCATGCCCAGCTAACTTTTTTGTATTTTTAGTACAGACAGGGTTTCACTGTGTTAGCCAGGATGGTCTCGATCTCCAGACATCATGATCCGCCCGCCTCGGCCTCCCAAAGTGCTGGGATAACAGGCATGAGCCACCGTCCCCAGCACGCCTGGACAATTTTTGTATGTTTAGCAGAGATGGGGTTTCACCATATTAGCCAGGCTAGTCTTGAACTCCTGACCTCAAGTGATCTGCCCGCCTCGGCCTCCCAAAGTGCTGGGATTATAGGTAGGGGCCACCGTGCTCAGCCCTATATGCATTTTTAAAGACTAAGGGAAAATAAGAGTGGTTCCATCTGGGTGGTGGAACTATAGATTATTTTTGTTTTCTCCTTTACTATCTTCTGTATTTTACAATAGGCCTTACAAACAAAAGTCTGGGAGATTAAAAGGGACATTTTTCTGGTCTGCCACCTGCTGGTGGATTCTAGCAACGTCCTGGGTTAAATTAAATTCAGTGCTTGCTCCTCCCTCTTCTCACTGTCTGAGCACCCTCCCTATAGTTCCCTCCAGCTTCTTTAGCCTGACTTTTGCCATCTCGTTTCCATTTTGTGATCCTTTCCCTCTTGTCTTGTGTATTTTCTCGTGTAAGTTTTTTTGGTAATATATGTTAGGTCCTCGCTATTTTCAGGTCATTACAATTTTTACCTCTTTGCATCTCTTTTCAGCGACTTCTGCTTTTTTTTTTTGAGACGGCGTCTCGCTCTGTTGCCAGGCTGGAGTGCAGTGGTGATCTTGGTTCACTGCAACCTCCAACTCCCGGGTTCCAGTGATTCTCCTGCCTCAGCCTCCCAAGTAGCTGGGATTACAGGCGGGTGCCACCACGCCTGGCTAATTTTTGTATTTTTAGTAAAGACGGGATTTCACCATGTTGGCCAGGATGGTCTCGATCTCCTGACCTTGTGATCTGCCTGCCTCAGCCTCCCATAATACTGGGACTACAGGTGTAAGCCATCGTGCCTGGGCGAGACTTCTGCTTTGATTGAGCTTAGTAACACACACTCACCATGGGAGCGGGTGTGCTTTTAGGACAAGCTGACAGCCCTGGTGGAAGTGGGTGTTAGTTAAGGCAATCAGAAATCCTGGCAAGTGTAGTACGTGCTCTGGGAGGCAGGTTAAGCCACAATTGGCAATCAATGCCCTTGGTCACATTAGTGAGAACGCCCTGGCAGCCATGTGGAGGGTGGATTTGAGGACTTGGAGAGGTGTATTTAAGACATGGCTGCCACTCTCTAGGAGGAGAGTGAGAGAGCTTGGGCAGGAGTCGCAGTAGGGATGGTGTGGAACAGGCAGATTAGAGAGCCGCCCAGCAGCTGTCCTCTGCAGGGACTCCTTAAGAGGGAGGAGTCATGACTGACCCCCAGCTTTCCAACACAGGTTGGGTGAGCTGTGATGCCACCAACCAAGGCAGGAATGCAGGCCTGTATGTCAGTGGGTTGTGGGGAAGGCTGGGTTTTGAATAAACTGAATGTGAGATGGCCTCAGAACATCCATGCAGAAACGTAAGCAGGCAGTGGAAAGTAAGGGCTAGAGAGAGATCTGAGTGTTACTGACATTAGGGTGTAGCTGAAACCCGAGGCATGGACGACAACGCTTCAGGAGAAAATCCAGAATGACGGAGATGCTGGAGACAGAAGCTGGTACGCATGAGCACGGAGGGCCAGCCTGACAGAGGAGTGCAGAGGCAGAGAAGGAAAAGGCAGAAAGAAAAACCCAGGAGTGCATTATTGCATGTGGCAACAGTCCAGAAGGGGTAGTGATCAGTAAGTGAACTGAAAGGGTCAGTAATCTAAGGGCTAAAAGTACATCACTTGAAATGGCAAGCAGGACGTCACTGGTATCTGAAAGGAAGAGTCTGCACAGAGCAGCAACAACGACGCCAGACTGCGGGGGGTGGGAGGTGCCTATGAGCTGAGGGTATCAAGTAGAGACTCTTCATGAAAGTGTGTATGGGAAAAGATGCTCCAGAGGGAATAATAATGAGAAGGGGCTGCAGGGTGCAAGAGTCAGAGGACAAAATGAGACAATCTAGGTAAGGGCTTAGCACACTATCTCGCATTTACTAAGTGCTCAATGCACATAAAGGGCTTTTATCGCCCATTCATTAACTATATAATAATTTTAAATTTAAATGACAAAAATCAGTCCAAGGAGCCTGCATACCAGTCGGGGAGAAAAACAATCAACAAAATAAATAAATTATATGGTACATTTGCTAATAGCAAATGCTAAGAAGAAAAAATAAACTGGGGAAAGAAGATATCAAATGTTGAAGAAAAGGACACAATTTTAGATAGGGTGGCCTGGGCAGGCCTCGCTGAGAAGGTGGCTTGTAGGTAAAGACCCAAAGGAGGTGAGTAAAGTAACTATAATTAGGGAGTAATAGAAAAATATTAGTTATCATTGCCAGAGCATTCTTCATATATTATTGTTATGGAAACATCTGGTTATTATTCTATTATTGCTACTCTCTTTGCTGCAATTAATGTTCTTTTTTTTTTTTTTTTTGAGACAGAGTCTCATTCTGTCACCCAGGCTGGAGTGCAGTAGTGCAATCTCGGCTCACTGCAACCTCTGCCTCCCAGATTCAAGCGATTCTCCTGCCTTAGCCTCTCAAGTAACTGGGATTACAGGCGCCTGCCACCATGCCAGGCTAATTTTTTTGTTTTGTTTTGTTTTGAGATGGAGTCTTGCTCTGTCACCCAGGCTGGAGTACAGTGGCACGATCTCGGCTCACTGCAACCTCCGCCTCCGGAGTTAAAGCGATTCTCCTGCCTCAGCCTCCCAAGTAGCTGGGATTACAGGCGCATGCCACCACGCCGGGCTAATTGTTGTATTTTTAGAAGAAACTGGGTTTCACCATGTTGGCCAGGCAGGTCTTGAACTCCTGACCTCAGGTGATCCACCCACCTCAGCCTCCCAAAGTGTTGGGATTACAGGCATGAGCCACCGCGCCCAGCCCACGATTAATGTTCTTATAATCACTGCCATCTCTGGGTGTTTAGTAGTTTCAGCAGTGGCATCCAGTAACCACGGTTTCTATTACAAAGGTGCGTGGAATCTAGGAAAACCGGGGACAACAGTGTAACATGCTGTGTCATCATCATCAGCTGGTTTGTAAGGGCAGAAGCAAAGCCAAGTGGAAGCTGATCGTGCACGCAGCTGCTGCAAACACAAAGCTGCTCATGTGTGTGCTGAGGGGAAAGAGGGCAGTCCCAGACTGATCTTTCAGTCCCACCTGTACACGTGAAATAGCCGCACAACAGGACCATCTTCAGACCTAGAGGGCATTGACGCAGGCATCTCTGGAGGAACAGAAAAGTGGTAACTACATCTCAAATCAGTGCAGATGGAGAGTGTGTAATTTAGAGGTCACAAGACAGGAGTGTTTCTACCAGAACACTGATTTGGTGGTTAGAAACAGGAATCCGCTGATGCCATCTGGGAATAATTAAGACGAACGGGAAATTCTTGCTCTGTGCCAAACCGAGCCCAACGCTGAGAGTAAGGTGGGTGTGTAATAAGCACTTACTGGATCACACTGAATAAGAGGATTCAATGTTGCTTGTGACTGATGCATACAATGATTAAAAAGCCTGATCTAGACTAATAATTATTCTTTGCAATTCAGAGAGAAGGATCAAAAAAGGAAAAGAAAGAAAAGGAAAAAAAAGTAGAAAAAGAATCTAAATGCCTGAGGACTCATCCTATCTTTACTCCGTTTAAGAGGCTATAATATTTTTTAAAGCTAAATGTCAAGTGTTTCATTCCTTAAGTCACAGGCTTCCGTGGGTGGATGGGACAGGCCAGAAAAATGGGTTTTAAAGACAAAACCCCATTCTTAAACTCAGGTTAACAGAAGTTTTGTAAATATCTTAGTTACATTTTCTTTTTTTCTTTTTTTTTTTGAGACGGAGTCATGCTCTGTCGCCCAGGCTGGAGTGCAGTGGCGCTATCTCAGCTCACTGCAACCTCTGCCTCCTGGGTTCAGGCAATTCTCGGGCCTCAGCCTCACTGGTAGCTGGGACTACAGGCATGCACCAGCACAGCTGGCTAATTTTTGTATTTTTAGTAGAGATGAGGTTTTATCATGTTGGCCAGGCTGGTCTTGAACTCCCGGCCTCAAGTGATCTGTCTGCCTCAGCCTCCCAAAGTGCTGGGATTACAGGCACGGGCCACCATGCCCGGTCCTTAGTTACATTTTTTACATGTATTTATTACTTGAAGGGGGTCAATACTGAATTTATCTATTAAAACAAACAAAAACCCTCAAGATTAAAACTTGATAGCTTAACTAGCAGTGCTTAGAATATATAAAAGTTTTTATTAATTTCTTGTAAATGCCTGTGTAAACAGATTATAAGTATGTCCTTCTTGGCTACGAAACCAAAAGTGAACCATTGTAATGGCCAAGTAAAAGCTTATGAAGGAAGAAATTAAATGGGCCAACTGCATTTTATAGCTCAAGCTAATAGCAACGTATGTGATATTTTTGTTATTATTATCACAGCCTTACCATGCAGCAGTTACTATAAGATATTTCATATGTTTGTGAAAGTGTGTATGCTATATTATATTCATGCATGGTACATGCTTCTCTAAGGATCCCACAGCCTGATCGCGCAAACGTTATCTATTCTACTTTAAGAGTACAAAGAGTGAAATATGGACTACGGGAAGATTATGACTGTGCTTGGGACTCCATAATGTGCCTGTCATGGAGCTGGGAACTCAGCCCCCTGATCACTGGGAACTCCTCAGCAGGAGTGGAACATGCAGGATGAGGGAAGGGAGGAAGTGGAGGAGATGGAAAACTGGCTTCCAACTGGTTTCGCTGAATCTGTGACTGACTTAAGAAGCAGGATATGAATTACCATGCACTTTATTGCCTCCTCTTGGAAACATCCTTATGTCATTGCGCTATGGCCAGAGCCCTGAAGGACATCTGCTCTCCTTGGGAGCTGCTGAGCCAGGGTGCCCGTGATGTCTTCAGAATCCTTCAGTCCCGACTGCAGGAGAAACTTGGCACAGGCCAAGTGCTGACCTGCACAGGCCAGATGCAGGGCTGAGGGGTGACAAAAATCACATGGACTTAAAACACAATCCCTGGAGCAATACTGACCTCATGAGTTGATAGTGCCCAATAAAAATATCAATTCTTTCAATATCTTCCGTAATCCATCTTCACAACTTCACCTATACTAGATCAAAATATTTTTGTTTCTAACCTGATTGGGTTGAAAATAGTTTTAAAGATAACAAAACCAGTTAGAGAGGATTTAAGAAATTTATCTAGGCTGGGCGTGGTGGCTCATGCCTGTAATCCCAGCACTCTGGGAGGCTGAGGTAGGCAGATCATGAGGTCAAGAGTGTGAGACTAGCCTGACCAACATGGTGAAACCCCATCTCTAATAAAAATTAAAAAATTAGCCGGGCGTGGTGGTGCATGCCTGTAATCCCAGCTACTCGGGAGGCTGAGGCAGGAAAATCGCTTGAACCCAGGAGGTGGCGGTTGCAGTGAGCACTGCACGCCAGCCTGGGTGACAGAGCAAGACTCTGCCTCAAAAAAAAAAAAAAAAGAAAAAGAAACTTATCTAAAGCAAGAAGCAACAGAGCAAGTTAACAAGATATAGGATACATCCTCTTCATACGCCTGAATGCTCTGGAAACACACTTTAAATGGTACAAAAAACTTTCTAAAAGGCTTATTGAATTTGCTTTGTAAGTAAAAATATCACCACAAATAATCACGTAGCCAAAAAAACACTTTTGAACAAGCTTCCCACTCTGGGTGCAGAAATCAGCACTGAGGTTCCTGGTGTGCTGAGTTCAGGGGCACTGGTGATTCTGCTGCTTTCCCTCCAGCAGAGAAGCTGTGTCCCTTCCTGGGCAGAGCAGCTGCCCTTTCCAGCCCTAGAGTGAGTAGTTAGGTACCTGCGAGTCTTTGAAGCATCAGAAAGATCCCACTAGGCCAGGCGCGGTGGCTCATGCCTGTAATCCCTGCACTTTGGGAGGGCGAGGTGGGCAGATCACTTGAGGTCAGGAGTTTGAGACCAGTCTGGCCAACATGGTGAAACCCTGTCTCTACTAAAAATACAAAAATTAGCTGGGCATGGTGGTGGGCACCCGTAGTCCCAGCTACTTGGGAGGCAGAAGAATCGCTTGAACCCAGGAGGTGGAGGTTGCAGTGAGCCAAGATCGTGCCACTGCCCTCCAGACTGGGTGACAGAGCGAGACTTTGTCTCCAAAAAAAAAAAAAAATTCCACTAAACCCTTGCAAGATGGCCTTTGGCTCACAGAATGTTAGAGGGTTTATTTTAAAGTCCAAGTCTAAAGAATTTGCTCTCAGCAGATGTTTCTGAATATTCTAAATAAAAAAAATCATAATGAATATAGTTTCTAAATATACTCCAAAATGGATGACCTGTGAAGAATTGATACGATACCTGGCTAGCAGGTGTCATCATGGATTAGAAAGAAACTGCTTTTATGATGCATATATTGTTATGGTTTAAAATAACAACAAAGATTAACAACAGCAGTTGTAATGAGTGGCAGTCATCATCACTGTTATAATAACAATTATATGAAGGCTTTGCAGAGAAAAAGATATTTTAAGGAAAAGTAGCTGAGCTATTAGAAGAATAACATTAAGGCTGGTCACAGTGGCTCATGCCTGTAATCCCAGCACTTTGGGAGGCCAAGGCAGGTAGATTGTTTGAGGTCAGGAGTTCAAGACCAGCCTGGCCAACATAGGGAAACCCCATCTGTACTAAAAATACAAAAATTAGCCAGGCATGGTGGTGCATGCCTGTAATTCCAGCTACTTGGGAGGCTGAGACATGAGAATCACTTGAGCCAGGAGGTGGATGTTGCAGAGAGCTGAGATGGCGTGCCACTGCACTCCAGCCTGGGCAACAGAGGGAAACTCTTGTCTCAACACCACCACCACTAAAAAAAAAAAAAAAAAAAAAAAAAAAAAGGAAGAATATTAAAATCATTGTTTTAAATATAAAAGTGTATTGGTTATACTCAGTTTACTAATTTCCAAGGCATATATAAAATTAAACGGTACCTGATCGATTTTTTTCATCTTTAGAATTGATGTCAGCTCCCAAGGATAAGAGAGTCTGAATTGTACTTGTATGTCCTTCCTGAATTGAAACAAATTTGTTATCACTGTGATGAGGATAAAAGAAAACCTTTTGCAAACCAAAAAGTATCTGAGACAGGTCTCAATCAATTTAGAAGTTTATTTTGCCAAGGTTAAGGACATACCTGAGAGACAGGTCTGTGTCTCTCTCCAAAGATGATTTTGAGGGCTTCAATATTTAAAGGGGAAAAGAGGGCTGGAGTGAAGAGGAGGAGGGTATGGTCACATTACTGAATCCACATTGCAGGATAAAAGGAGCAGGGGGGGGATTAGGCAATGATACATTAAATATCTCTTTCCACTCAGTAAATTGGCACTTTACATAAGATAAGGTGAATATAAAGTAGCTACCTGTGGAAATATTTAACCCTTTATCTGTAGCTATCTGCTTAGGAACAAAAGGAAAGGCAGCTTTCTGCATGACTCAGCTTTCAGCTTAATTTTTTTTCTTTTGGCAGAGTGAGTTGGGGGTCTTACGTTTTTATTTTCCTTTCACACTTTAAACACAGACTCTAACATATATTAGGCACCTTTTCTAAAACAGTCGACTGCTAAAAGTGAATTTTCATCTTTTTTTCCCTAATTTATTCTTTTTTTTTTTTTTGTAGAGACAAGGTCTCACTATGTTGTCCAGACTGATCACAAACTTCTGGGCTCAAGGGATCCTCCTGTCTCAGCCTCCCAAAGTGTTGGGATTACAGGTGTGAGCCACTGCGCCCAGCCAAATTTTCATATCTAAAGTAAGATATTGTATCATTCTCAATTCTAATATAAATCATTAAATAAATATTTTGGTGACATTTAATTATTAGAATATAGATGATCAACTCTGTGAGCCAAATTACTGACCCAATGCAGTTAGTTTCCATCATTGTGAGCAGTACAAATCTTGTGATTTATACAGAACCCAAAACTCTAAAATTTCCCAAGCAAATATACTCTTTGTTGAAATCTTTAGGGGAGAGATAAACTAGAAAAGATCATAACCGCTCATAAATGGGAATTCCTATTACAGCTAGTAGGAATTATTATAATAAATATTTTATAAAATAAAAATATTATTTATATATATATATATATATATATATATATATATATATATATATTTGAGATGTAGTCTCACTCTGTTGCTTGGCTGGGGTGCAGTGGCATGATCTTGGCTCACTGCAACCTCCACCTCCCGGGTTCAAGCGATCCTTCTGCCTCAGCCTCCTGAGTAGCTGGGACTAGTGGCATGTGTCACCACCCCCAGCTAATTTTTTTGTATTTTTTAGTAGAGACAGGGTTTCACCATGTTGGCCAGGATGGTCTTGATTTTTTTTTTTTTTTTTTGACACAGTCTCACTCTGTCGTCCAGGCTGGAGTGCGGTGGTGCGATCTCGGCTCACTGCAAGCTCCTCCTCCCAGGTTCACACCATTCTCCTGCCTCAGTCTCCCTAGTAGCTGGGACTACAGGCACCTGCCACCATGCCCGGCTAATTTTTTGTATTTTTAGTAGAGACGGGGTTTCACCGTGTTAGCCAGGATGGTCTCGATCTCCTGACCTCACGATCCACCTGCCTCAGCCTCCCAAAGTGCTGGGATTACAGGCTTGAGCCACTGCGCCTGGCCGGTCTCGATCTCTTGACCCCGTGATCCGCCCGCCTTGGCCTCCCAAAGTGCTGGGATTACAGGAGTGAGCCACTGCGCCTGGCCTATAAAATAATTTATACACTCTTTGTCTAGCCAGTTAGTCTGCTACTATGTGATGAGACTACAGTTAAGGTTCCAGGTTCACTCTTCCTATGGGAGCACCCTGCGGCCACAGAGCACATCATGTGTATCTACCCAGCTGCTCGAAAGCAGGACATCAGGCAGGAAAATGTAATTGATCAGAAAAACAAGTAGGCCGGGCATGGTGGCTCACGCCTGTAATCCCAGCACTTTGGGAGGCCGAGGTGGGTGGATCACAAGGTCAAAAGTTCGAGACCAACCTGGCCAACGTGGTGAAACCCCGTCTCTACCAAGAATACAAAAATTAGCCAGGCATGGTGGCAGGCACCTGTAATCCAGCCTGGGCAAAAAAGCAAGACTTTATCTCAAAACAAAAACAAAAACAAACAAACAAACCAAAAAAAAAAAACAAAAAATAAGTAAAAGCATAAAGCCAATAGATAATGTTAAGGATAATATGCAAAACGCTCCTAGCATTTAAAACAGCTACTTTTCCAGTGAAAATGTTTGCTTATCTTCAATATACCCCAGAGAGCCTAGTAAATGCAATTCTCTTGCCCTGGCTGAAGAGTTCTTAACTTCTGAAATCCAGTATAAGAACAGAGAGCCAGGAATTTCATACAATGGGTATTTATAGCTTCAAATAACGTTATTCCTGAAAACAAAAACCTGTGTGTGAGGGGGAGGCACTTTATGGAGTAAAAGGCTTTTTTTTAAAGTTTTGTCTAGCAACAAATTCAAGTCAGGTTTCTATTTAAAGAGATAAAGCGCTTCAGAATCCTGACCATTTCAGAAGAATATCATGGGCAATTTCTTCCATAGAGATGGGGTCAAAGAAACCAGGCTGCAGAGCTACTGATCAAAGAAGTAAGGCAAGCCTCAGGGAAGCTCGGACAACGTTATAAGAAGTAACAAACCTTAGCTGCATAATGAAGTGCTGTGAGGTGGGTTGATGTGGCTCTCACATCTACATCGACGCCAAGTTCAGAGACCAAGAATCGGATGGCTTCGTCCTGCCCTGTGACAGCTGCCCTGTGCAGAGCCTGGGCACCCAGGCTGTCTTCTGCTGAAAGGCAAGCCTAGTGGGCAGAGGAGAGAAAGGAGCAAAGGTCAAAGATAAGAAACAGGGCAACTTAGATCTGGGCATCTGCTGGCACTTCAGCAAAACTGAGCTGTTTACGCACAACTCTCTGGGCAGAGGATATGTGGCTTTTGTCTGATTTTCAAAGGATTCTTTTTTTTTGAGACGAAGTCTCACTCTGTTGCTCAGGGTGGAGTGCAGTGGCACAATCTTGGCTCACTACAACCTCCATCTCCTTGGTTCAAGCGAGTCTCTTGCTTCAGCCTCAGGTGTGTGCCACCACACCTGGCTAATTTTTATATTTTTAGTAGAGATGGGTTTTAACATGTTGGCTAGGCTGGTCTCAAATTCCTGACCTTAGATGACCCACCCGCTTTGGCCTCCCAAAGTGCTGGGATTACAGGCATGAGCCATCACGCCCTGCTCTCAAAAAAGGGCTCTCTAATCAAAAAGATGGTTATGATTCAATGTTCCAGGCTATGGTGCCAAAAGCACTATCAGCAGAGACAGTTTGTTGTTATTATTGCTATAAAACAGCTACCATTTACTGAATATTTTGCTAACTGCTTTATGTACATTATATTATTTAATCCTTGTAAAACTTTCTGAAGAAACTACATTTCTCTCCATTTTACAGATGGGAACACTGGTGCTTAAAGAGGTCACCAAGTTCCAGAGAGAGAGTTTGGAGGGGCTGGGGAATGGAACCTGGGATCTGAGTAACAATGTGCTCTGCTTAACCTGTGACCTAAAATTTATAGGAAGAACCAAAAGAATAAAAACACAACCATTTTTATACCCCATGTTCATCGAGGAGCAGCCTAGCGACGTCGATGTGCCCACACTGGATTGCGTCCATCAAGGCGGTGACGCCACAGTTGTCTCTGTAGTCTGGTTCATATTGGCACCTAGAGCCAAAACCCCAAGTAAGAGCTGAGAAAATTCAATACCTCAAACCCAGGGGACAGTTGACACCTGATCACCTGCAGGTGAACTGCGTGTGTGCAAATGACCTGTGAGCATGGAGCTCTCTCTATTCTCCCCCATCTCAGTGTCCGAACTGAGCACTAAGCCTTCAGGAGCGTGATGGTCTTCCCTAGCAGACCTGCTGCTCCTCTAACCTTCTCCATCCCATTTGACAGCACTTGGTCTCTTCAGCTTCCTGCACCAGAGACCTGGAAGCCACCCCTTGCCACTGCCTTTCCTGCATCCTTCATAATCAATTGATTACCCCCATCCTTCAATTCCACAGCCAAAATATTTAAGACATCTGTGTCTGAGCTGGGCACAGTGGCTCACGACTGTAATCCCAGCACTTTGGGAGGCCGAGGTGGGTGGATCACCTGAGGTCAGGAGTTCAAGACCAGCCTGGCCAATGTGGTGAAACCCCGTCTCTACCAAAAATATAAAAAATTAGCCAGGTATGGTGGCATGCACCTGCAATCCCAGCTACTTAGGAGGTTGAGGCAGGAGAATCGCTTGAACCTGGGAGGTGGAGGTTGCAGTGAGCTGAGATTGCACCATTGCAGTCCAGCCTGGGTGACAAAAGCAAAACTCCATCTCAAAAACTAAAAAAAAAAAAAAAAAAAGGAAAATCCTCAATGTGGCTGATAGCATTCATTCTCCCACCCCTTCACTGTTCAGGCTCAGCATATTCTAGGCGTCTTTTGTTTTCTTAAATGTACCACAGTTGTTCCTGGTTTGGAGCATCCGTGGGTGCTGTTATTGCTGTCTGGAATGGTCCCTTGCCTCCCGCTTTCAGCTAATTTCTTTTTCTCCTTCAGGTCACAGCTTAAACACTGGCGCTGAGATTCTTTACTCTTAAGCCAAATTGGGTCTTCCCATTATTTGTTCTGTAGGGATCCTGCAAGTCCTTGTAATGCACAACAGACTTTCGGGACTCCTTCATGGTCTGTCTTTCCTGCCAGTCTGTTGAGTTCCAGGAGGGTAGAAACTACATGTGTCTTCTTTCTGTTGTGGCCCTTGCACCTGGTACAGGGCTTTATTTATTTTTTATTTATTTTTTTTTGAGACAGAGTCTTGCTCTGTTGCCAAGGCTGGACTGCAGTGGCGCGATCTCGGCTCACTGCAAGCTCCGCCTCTTGGGTTCACGCCATTCTCCTGCCTCAGCTTCCTGAGTAGCTGGGACTACAGGCGCCCGCCACCACGCCCGGCTAATTTTTTTTGAATTTTTAGTAGAGACAGGGTTTCGCTGTGTTAGCCAGGATGGTCTCGATCTTCTGACCTTGTGATCCGCCCGCCTCGGCCTCGCAAAGTGCTGGGATTACAGGCGTGAGCCACCGAGCACTAAATGAATGTATAAATGCTCGTTGAAAAAAATAGAGAAATGGATGATTTTGCCGCTGAAAACATTTTCCCCAGATATTTGTTATTTTTGTTTCATATTCTTTATCTGCTATGTCTTTTGTTCATTTTTCTTTTGAAAGCCTAATTTTTTTCTTAAAAATGTGTCTGAGCTCTTTATGTAGCACTGATATCAACTCTTTGTCATAGTTAGCAAATATTTTCCCTGACTTGCTGTATTGTTCTTACCTCTTAAGAAGCACCTTGACTGCCTCCAAATGGCCATGCATTGCTGGGAGGAGAAAGAAAGCTGAGAATTAGAGCTTTTTAGTGCACACACAAAATGCTTCCTGCCTCCTGGCTTTGCTCTCTGCCCCGTTCTATTAGTGATAGCTTACAAGAAGGAGTCATTAAATTGGGTACACTGTTACCGCCCTACACGAATAAATATTTAACTGGATAAAGCGGTAAACAATAATGTTTTCACTTTATATGTACACAGCCAACACTTGATTATCTTATCTTCACGTGCACTTTCATGGGAAACTTTCAATCCTAAAGTTACACTTCTGTGCTGTGGATCCCCAAGACTAGTCCATTTTTGCCCAGGAAATGCAAAATATTGTAACAGTAATCCATGGCAAAATAGCCTGGATTTAATTCCCCTACTAAAAGTAACTATACTCAAAGGTTATGACTATTTGTCTTCCACTATTTTGGGTGAATGATGGAGTGCTGATTGTTTCTCCAGGGGAGAAACTGGTCAAATAATTCATGAGCTAAAAAAAAGTTTTCTACTTACTTAAGAAGTTTTAGAAATGATTCCTTGGTCCCTAATTGCCAACTGTGGCTCATGCCTGTAATCCCAGCACTTTGGGAGGCCAAGGTGGGTGGATCACTTCAGGTCAGGAGTTCAAGACCAGCCTGGCCAACAAGGGGAAACCCCATCTCTACTAAAAATATGAAAATTAGCTGGGCATGGTGGCATGCGCCAGTAATCCCAGCTTCTCGGGAGACTGAGGCACGTGAATTGCTTGAACCTGCGAGGCAGAGGTTGCAGTGAGCCGAGATCGTGCCACTGTATTCCAGCCTGGGTGACAGAGCAAGACTCTGTCTCAAAAAAAAACAAAAGACAAAAAGCAACACTATAAAACATCACAAGTGATGATTTTTAGAGAAACTAAAAGCCCTCTATCCTAATCAATGTACTACCTAGAAAGCTACAAGTTATATTCTGAATTTCTTAATCTAGACTCTTGAGCTCCTTAATATCTAACTTCTGAAATTACAGTAATTTTACTTTTTACTAATTGTTTTCTTTTTACTTTCTTCAAACAAATGAGCAAATTGAAACTTTTTACTAAAATAATCTACAAATAGATAATTCAGAGTTAAGAGTCACTACTCCAAATAATAAAAACTGTAACCCAAATTTACATTAGATGTTATTGGGCCAAGGTATTTAATTATGAGTATCTATATTTATTTAAAAGTATAGCACTATGGTAGGTGTTACTAAGGCTATGAGGATATATATTTCCCTCCTGCCTTTAAGAGTAAGAATGTAAACATGATAAAGAAAATAGCACTAACCAGTTATTTTGTGCTATGTGCCAAGCATTGTCTAAAGGATTTACATACATCATGCTCTTTAAACTCTACAACAACCCTGAGACATACCATCACTGACATTATTATTTGGTTGATGAGGAAACTTGCTCAAGAGAGAGACTAATTTCCTTACCCAAGGTCAAAGACTATGTGCTACAGAACCAGCTCATGGGCAAATAATCTAGGGAGGATAACACAGATACACACGAAAAATAAATTAATACCACAGCATGCTAGCCAAGTTATGTTAACTTTAGAAATTGATTATATGCCAAAAGGCCCCTAGATGCTTTTTTTTTTTTTTTGAGATGGAGTTTTGCTCTTGTTGCCCAGGCTGTAGTGTAATGTAGTGCAATCTTGGCTTAGTACAACCTCTGCCTCCTGGGTTCAAGCCATTCTCCTGCCTCAGACTCTGGAGCTCCCCAGTAGCTGGGATTACAAGCAGCCGCCACCACGCCCGGCTAATTTTTTGTATTTTTAGTAGAGACGGCGTTTCACCATGTTGGCCAGGCTGGTCTTGAACGCCTGACCTCAGGTGATCCACCCGCCTCCGGCCTCCCAAAGTGCTGGGATTACAGGCGTGAGCCACTGCACCCGCGCCCCCGCCCCCACCCCCTCCCCCCCAGATGTTCTTATTCTCTGCCTTCTGTTTTCCAAAATCCTCCTTTCCCCTGAAGGTGACCTGAACAAGATGCGGTTGGGCAGTGCTGGGTGAAGCAGCCACATGTGTGTACTGCTCACCTGCAGAGCTGTAGGCTGTACCTGCAGTATGCAGAGGAGTCCTTCTAATTTTGCTCTCTGTCTTCCAGGCACCTGGGCAAACAGTGAGCAGGTACTGGAGGATCAGAGGGTCGCCTTCTCGACTGGCAATGTGGAAACTGTTCCAGCCATCTTTGTTCTTCAGGAGTGGATTGGCGCCATGTTCCACCAGCTCCTGGATCACCCCCAGGTTCTTCCTTGTGCAGGCCATCATCAGAGGAGTCCTAAGGCCAACCAGGAGAAGCTGTCAGATGGAGGCAGCTGAGACATTAGAAGCCAGGGGCCAGGTCTTCAAAACACACACATCCTTGGCACAGATGGAAAACCTAGAGGATTCAGGGGTCTGGCAGGCAGGAAAACAGCTTTGACCGGCAACCTCTGTGCCTTCTGTGAGGACCCTGGGAGAAATAATAAGGGGAAAATGATTGTAACGAACGTGTACCTAGAGGAGAGGGTGCCTGGGAGACAAAGCAGCTTATAAGCTAGTTCACAGGATAGCAGTGAATTGGAGCAGAGCTAAGAAAACCCACAGACAACCCTCAACACATAACGAAGTCTATTCCCCTGCCCCAGTGGGGAAGATGTACTTCCCTATGTTCCTAAAGATGTTCACGCCCTCTAACGAACCTGACCTAGTGAGTACTAAAATCAGTGTCAATCTAACAAACGAAATGCAATTGGCTTGTGTGATGGTGGAGCAGAGTATCTCTGACTGTGGTGGTTATGCAAGGCTGCACGTATGTGATACAACTGCACTGTGCTCTACACACACGAGCGCGTGTATAACTCAGGAATTCTGGATATTGATTGGAGCAATGCCACTTGAAACAATGCATTGGTGCAGAAGTAACTTAGCTAAATGTCCCCAGAACATCGCATCCGGAGGCTATCTGTATAGTGCACACACTTCATTGTTTGGTAACATTCTCTTTGGTTATATTCTACACTATTCCGTGCTCTAGAAAGGGAGGTGACTGCCCCGACCAGTTAACCCACAAGGGCAGGAACGAGGGACTCTGCAGGTCATCTGCGTTATAAGGGAAAGTTGGGCAGGAGGTCCCTGCCGCTGAGCAGGCCTGGGGTGAGAACTAGGAGCTGAGAACAGCTACGGTGTCCAAGGGGACGGAGAAGCACAGGGAACTCGCTACGACTCTGCGAGTAGAGGGGAGGCGGGGTGTCTTTCCGCTCCACACCTACCAGTCGGCCTTCTTCAGGCAGTCGACCGCTGCCCCCCGGCCCAGCAGGTAGCGCACGCAGTCTCGGTGGCCCATGGAGGCCGCCTCGTGCAGAGGCCGCTTGTAGTCTCGGTTGGTGGCCTCGATGTCCATGCCCCAGGCCTCGGCCAGATAGGCCAGCACGTCCCGATGCCCGTGGCGCGCGGCGCAGTGCAGGAGGGTATCCCCGGCCGGCCCCGGGCAGCCCCCGGCCGCCTGCAGCTCCTCCTTCAGGGCGCGCAGCCGGCCCTCCTGCACCAGCCTGCAGAGGCGCCGCGGGTCCCCGGGCTGGGCCATCGCCGCGGGTCGGGCCGGGCTGCGCGGGGAGGCGGCGGGCGGGACACCGGCGGCCGGGCAGGGAGAAGCCGAGGGCGAGTGGGACTTTCCGCCTCTTCACGCAACCTGCCCCGCGCGCCCCGAACCCGGCAGAACCGCCCCTCACGCCCCCGGCTTTGTCCCCGGCAGAGCCGCCTCCTCAAACCCCCGGCCTAGTCCGCAGGCGGGCTGCCCCCTCACAGCCCCGGCCTGCCCCGCGTGGGAGAAGCCGCGGTTCCGGGCACGGGGCGGTTTTTCCTCAGGGACGGAGCGGTCCGGGATGAGCACGGAGGGGCCTGGGGATCCGAGAGCGCTGGCGTCCGCCGTCCTGGAGCTGCAGCGGCCCGTACGTGATTCGGGACTGAACACGTAAGGGAGTGGGGCGCGCCGCTACACCGCAAAGCCCCAAAGTGGAGGGTCCGGGAGGGCGCGCACAGCCTCGCCCGGCGCCGTGCAGGGTGGCTCCTGAGGCAGCCAGGCCCAAGCGTGACCTGCCCCGCACGCGTCCTCAGGGCCGCCCCAGCCTCCAGCCCCTGGGGGCCGGCGTTCCTGGGCTCCGCCCCCGTCCCCGCCCCTCGACCGCCGCTGCTCCGCGGGGACTCGGGGAGCTCGAAGGAACTCTGGGAAAGTTTCCCGCTCCGCCCCGGCCCGAGCGGAAGCGCGGATGGGGCGTGGCCCGGTAGCTGTGGCCGCGCCCCCACCGATTGCGCATTTCGATTGGCGTTAGTGGCCGTCCGTCAGCACGCCCCCTCCGGTCTCGCGTCCCGATTGGTCGCGGGGGCCGTCAGTCCGGCTCCGGCGGCGGGCGCTTCCCGGGGCTGCGGCGGGGCGGAGCTCGCGGAGGAAGTCGGCGGGCGTCTCGGGCTCCAGGTCCCGGCCAGAGGAGGAGCTCGCTGCCGGGGGACGCTGGGCTGAGCGGCCGGCGGCGCGGGCCCGGCGGCGGCGGCAGCGGGGTCCGGGTCCGGAGCGCCACAGTGCGTGAGGCCGCAGACGTGGCAGGGAGTGTGGGAGGGGCTCCGCCGTGTGGAAAACTTAACCTCCGGGGTCCTGCGCGGGGGGTCCGGGCCCGGGGTGGGGCAGCGGGGGCCCCGGGGGCGCGAGGCTGGGCTCGGGCAAGCGCGGGCGTGGGGGCTCGGCCGTCCGGGCCGTGGGCAGGTGGAGGGCGCGGCGGGGGTGCGCGGGGGAGGCCAGGGCGCTCACTGAACTCGGTCGGGAGCGGCCCCCGCGCTGCCCCCCGAGGCCAGGAAGGCGCAGCGTGTGGGTCCTCGGGGCTGAAGGGGCAAGCGCGGGGACGTGGCCTCGGCTGCTAGGAGGCCAGGCTTTCCCGTCTACTCTGACGTTTTGACCTTGGGCAAGTCATTTTTCGCTGCCCTCTGCCCCTGTGTCATCGGTAGCTTCTCTGCCCCTCCTCTGAGCATGGGAAGCCTAAGGCGATGTGGGAGGCCTGGCGCTGGTGGAGGGCACGGCGAGAGCTGGGCAGGCTGTGGGTGATGGAAGAGATCAGTAGGTGTTGGGTTCCTTACCCGATCTGATTAGGTGCCAGTCACTTAACCTCTCCATGTTTTCGATTCCTTTAGGGAGTAGAATGGGAGTAGCTCCTATTTGCCAGGCCTAAAAACGAGTGCCGTTTACATTTTTTATTGCAGTCTGTGGTCCGAAGACAACCCTATGAGGCATCAGTAGGGTTTTACAGGTGGGGAAGTGGAGGCCTAACCAAGTCAGTGACTTTCTTACAGAATTACAGGTAATAAAGTCTTCTGGAAGGCAGGATGGTAGCATGTGTTGAGTGTCCGCCAGCGTCTGCCGCTGTGGTAAAATGAGCGGAGATAAATGAAAAGACTTCTGGAATGGGCCCATGAAGATAAGTCCGTTTTACTCATGAGCAGATTGAGTTTGGTTAAGGTAACAGTGATGTGGATAGCCTCTGGAGACAGAACTAGTCCAAGTACCAGCTTTGCTCAGGTTATTGTTCTGTCGTGCCTTGTCACTCCAGCAAAAGAAAAAAAGGAAGGCATAAAAGTTGTTTGAAATGCACAAAAGTGTAGGGCGTGCCAAGCAGTGTTCTGCTGCCGTTGAAGTTAGTGCAAATTGGAAGTTGAGGCATCTGGTAGCTTCATGCTTTTTGCTTTTACCCCTGCCCCTCTCCCAGTTTCAGATGACTATCTTCTCTTGCATTATGTCTCTAGTTTCCCTGTTTTTTAAACATAATTGGGACACACGGGTTCACAGTAGGTTGGAATATATATATATATTTTGAGACAGAGTCTCGCTCTGTTGCTCCGGGTGGAGTGCAGTGGCACGATCTCGGCTCACTGCAACCTCCCCCTCCCGGGTTCAAGCAATTCTCCTGCCTCAGCCTCCCGAGTAGCTGGGATTACAGGCGTGTGCCACCATGCTCGGCTAATTTTTTTGTATTTTTAGTAGAGACGGGGTTTCACCATGTTGGCCAGGCTGGTCTTTAAACTCCTGGCCTCAAGTAATTCACCCAGCTCGGCCTCCCAAATGCTGGGATTACAGGCGTGAGCCACCGTGCCTAGCCAGGTTGGAATATTTGAACCCAGGATAATTGGTTACTTCATTGGTGTTGCACATTCGATTCTGCCTCTTGTGTCTTCTCTATGAACCTTCTTTGCTCTGTATCCCCCTTTGGATAACTAAATGATAATGTATGTGAATCTGTCCCGCAGCTCCTGTGATTTTCTGGGCAAAAGCTTGGTCTAGAGGGGCGGGATCTGAACAGTAAGCTAATGGATGGAGCTGTTTCCTGGGTCTTGCTGTTTTCCGGTTGGGCTGCTCATTTCTTTCGTGCAGACTTTTGGAGGTTGTGGTCTGGCCTTTACAGTCACGTCACATGTAGTCGTCATTGGCACCGACTTGCTCCTTGGCTGCCCTTCCTTTTCCTCCTGTTTTTCATGGGTATGCTGTTGAGCATGCCCATTGGTACACTGATCATTTGACAGGTTTCGTGATTTGTGAGTGTGTGTAGACACCACTATTGGTATTAGATTTAGAATTCTAATTTTGGGTTTGTTGACATCATCTTTTTGCTGCTTATCTCATTCCTCTATCCCTCCTAGGCTGATTTTATTTGGAAACTGAATTTGGATTCCATCTTTGCCTTTCTGGCTGTGAAATTACCTACTTTTAGAAAGCATCTCAAATCTTATATCTGTAACTGTCATTCACATGCCTTTTGAAGACCAGTCTCAGATTTCAGAGGACCTCCTGGAGCATAAACATGGTATTCCACAGATAACTTAAAGCCAGAAATTATTTTTAAAACTAGGACTTTCAGCCTCCCTCTCACTCCGGGGGAAAAAGTGATTAAAACACAAACACTGTTTCTCTTTTATTCCTTAACATGGTTAATGACATTAACATCTCTTTGAATGTTCTACTAGAAATGCCAGTTATCCTTGTTGCTCTTTATCTTTTATCTTTCTGTCTTGTCAAACAAAGCCATGTTCTTATGCACCTGCAGGGTCTGCTACTCTCAGGCCTTTGCCAATTCTCACATAGGTTGATATGGTGGCTTTCTGAGTTGTTTTCCTGACAATCTCCATGTCTCTCCACCTTCTATCCTCTCTCCCGAGTCACTGTCCTAAAGTGTAAATTTGATTGTGTAATGACCCTGCTTTAAAAATTGGATGAGGCCGGGCGCGGTGGCTGACGCCTGTAATCCTACCACTTTGGGAGGCCGAGGCAGGTGTATTGCCTGAGCTCAGGAGTTCTAGACCAGCCTGGGCAACACGGTGAAATCCTATCTCTACTAAAATACAAAAAATTAGCTGGCTGTGGCGGTGTGCACCTGTAGTCCCAGCTACTCGGAAGACTGAGGCAGGAGAATCACTTGAACCTGGGAGGCGGAGGTTGCAATGAGCCGAGACTGTGCCATTGTACCCCAGCCTGGACCACAGACAGAGTGAGACTCTGTCTGAAAACAAAAAACAAACAAACAAACAAAATTGGATGATACCTTGAAGCCCCTACCTGATAAAGTCCAATTTCTTTTTTTGAAGCCCAATTTCTTTATCATTATGTGTAAGGACCTTTGTAGTCTGTGGCTCCAAATTCCTTTTCCAGCCTTATCTCCTGTCATTCCTCATCAGGGAACCTCTTGTTTTGATGAAGCCCAGCTTTCCTGCCACTCTAGTGCATTGTTAATGCCTCTGTATTTTTGCACACATTGTTTCCTTCCGCCTTACTGAATCCCATGATTCTTTCAAGACTCAACTCTTCGTGAAGCCTTTTTCAACTTGCCTAACTCTATTTATGTTTCTTTACTATCATAACACTTCATGCATGCATTTATGTAGTTGTTATATTACTTTATCTTTAGTAACTTGTGTTTGTTTTGGTAGCTGCCTTATGGGTAGGCTTATTCACTTTTGTATCACTAATGTCTAAAATAGCATTTAACACCAAGGATACCATAAGACAAAGCTCTCATGGAGTTTAAAATGAATCTGGGACATAGCAGATACGTAAAAGTAGTTGTGGAATGAATTGACTGTAGAAAAAGCCTTTCAAATATATAAAATTATATTCTAGACCATAAGTAGTGATCTTTCTCTTGTTTTTCAAACATTCCTTTCTTTCTTTAGGAAAAACATAGAACGGAAAGCCCAGCCCATCCTTGTTGGCTGTCATACACGAGTGCTGTCTCCAAGGGAGTCACAGGTGTCTCAGATGTGAGAGGATCCCGGGGAGATTGAGCTTACTGCCTGGGAACTTTTGGATTTCTGGAGAAGCAGGCTGTGGTAGCCTGGCTCTGCGTCAGTGAATACCTGGGAAAGGAGCTGGAGCTCTATTTTGCTTGCTTTCTGCATTCGTTTCTTTTAGAGCTAATGGGGACACAATATTTTGAAGTTTTTCCATTTCGGGTCTACAGCATTTAGTGGTATTTTCCTTATAGTTATGTTTTCCAAATACTTCTCAATTTCTTTGGTTCTGACATTTCACAATGATTTTAAAAAAATGTAATATGGAAATTAAACTTGAGGTTTTCAGAAGCTGCTTTCAAGGTGTCTAGATACAGAGTGAAGAATGTCACAGTAGGAAGTGCACTGGACTAGGGGAGTCAGGAGACCCGGGTTCTTGTGTTGGCACCATCACTCATGAGCTACGAGGTGACTTCAGGCAAGTCCTCTCTGAGCCCCAGCTTAATCATGGCACAATTGTAGGATTGCTTTGAGGGTCAGACGAGAATATAGGAAAGAACTGCAAAAGCTGTAAAGCACTTAGGAGCTCTGGGAGAGTTGAGAGCTTCAAAGCCAAGGAAGACAGCCCACACTTCAGAAGAAGTGCTGCAGCTGCACATTTGTTCGTTTAATCAGGAATTGTTTATGAAGCAATGTGTGTTACATGCTGGGTGTGAGTACCTCTCTACTCCTTCCCACTAGAGCAGAGAGCTTTTAGTCTGGGATGGAAGACGTATTAAATACAGACTTATACAAATAATTGTTATTAATATAATATGTAATACAGTGCAATTAAAAACAATAATTCATATAAGACACATGTTAAATGCACACTTACACAAAGAATTGTTACAAGTATCTCGGGTGTACAGGGCGGTTTTATTCCTGCGAAGTGCTTCCTGGCTTGAGTGAATACTTTTATGGTGCTGGAGTTGAGAGATAACACAGTTAACTGTTGAAATTGGGCCATTCCCGTTTCACAGGCTGCCATTGGACCTGTCAAGTGCCTGAGTCATGTGATAATGGGCTACATTGCGCAGGGCCCCTGGGCCATCTCCACAGGAGATGCCAGAGGACGAGTGCCCACTTGCTGGTCTTCACAGAGCACGCTGAAAGTAAGAGGCATGTGGGAAACTGACCAGGGCGGTTAGCTGACTCCAAAATTGTCCAGATTAGCAAAACTGCCCTCTGTGGATCTTTGTTAAAGTTGGGTATGGTATTGTAGCAGTTTCTCCAGTCAGGTACCTTGTACTAGCGAGTCAACTTGATTTTTTTTTGAAAAAGCAATTATTTAATAATAATATTTACTTCCAGGAATTCTAGGTACTTATTGTCTTCATCTTGTCCATTTAGGTCTGTAACCTAAAAGTTTTAAAGGACTTTTTGGTATGAATTCTGATTAGTAAAGGTAGAGGAAGAAAGGAAATTATTTGGTATCCATTTCAAATGATCCTGAATGGTTAGGGTAAGCTTTGCTGCAGTGACAAATAGATCCAGACATGTAATGGCCTCACAATAGACGTTTATTTTTCAATCCCATAACAATCTAAGGAGGCTACAGGTCATGGTGGTGGTTGGAGTTTGTGTGTGTAGGTGTGGGGAGGGAGGGTTCTTTTTAAAGCAGTAGTCCGAGGATTGAGGCTGCTGGAGGCTCTTCTATTTTGAACACCCGGCTTCTAAGGATGTCCTGGGAATCAGCTTCCCAGTTAAGGGGAAGAGGAGAAGAGTGGAGGGCAGGTCTGGAAGAGGCGTGTGCTGCTGCTGTTCCCATTGCATTGGCTGGCACCCAGCGGTAAGGCGACATCCACCTGCACGCAGGACTGGGAAGTATAGCCCAGCTGTGTGCTCAGGGAGAAGAGCAACAACATTCTTTGCAGCAAAACCTGAAACACTCAGTTTCACTTTCTGTGACTTGTTTTGTAAGTTGTTTTCAATAAAGAAGATTAAAAAAAGAAGCCAGGCAAATGAAAGCATAGGGGAGGAGTGGCAGACACGCAGTTCTCACTCTGCGACTGCAGGAGTGTCTCTTGTTTCCCCCTTGTGCACTTTGAGGAATGAGGGGATAGACGTGGTCCCTTCCTTTTAGTTCCCCGTAGCAGAGTTCTTGTAAGGACTCGTTCAGGGGAGACTGATAAGGGTCTCATCTCCATCGGGGGACCTCACCAGGGCATGGAGTGGGTCAGAGTGGGCTGGGAGGGGATAGACTGTCATCAAGGTGAAGAGATTTGAGGGGTGGTGGAGGGCTAAACTCCAGATCTGACCACTTCAAAGTCAGCAAAGGCCAGGAATTGCTGGGGTAGGGCTAAAAGCTGAGGGTTAGCAAAGAGAGGTGGGTCCTGGAATGGGGACCCCTGGGGTGGAGGACAGAGAAGTCACACTGTTAGAAAGCCGTCACAGAAAAGGCAGTGTGGGAATGAGCTTACTTAAGCCTAGGGAATATTCATTTGACAAAATGGTTTGTGTACATTCTGGTTTTTCTACCCTGACACCTGAGGGCTCTAACACATTTCTGTTGGTTATTGTGGAAGAGAGTGTCCAAGGGTGGGAGCACAGATGCCGAATTTGGTGTGTAGGAGACCAATTTCAACAACTCTGGGGGCCTTGTAGAGTTTGCAAAGCCCCGTAAGTGATTCTAATCTCTCTGCACCCACAAGAACCCCTAGTTTAGACACAGCTTCCCTTTATCTGTGGTCATTCACCACAGATAATTTCATTCCCTAAAGAATCACAAGCAGCTTCTAACAGTAAATGCCCTTTACAGGAGGTGTAAAGTGCACTTGCTGTGTAGAGAGGGAGGCATACCATGAGCTTTGCGTGACTCAGGGAAGGAGGATTTTTATGGAAGAAGTAGCATTTGAGCATTCTTATTTTGATAAAGTTATTTTTGAACTGCTTTTTAAAAAGGTATATTAATAAGAATAGAAGGGTGATTAGAATTCTAGTGTAGTGTTTTGGTTTTATTTTTAACCATTTAGCAAGAACATTAATGCTATTAAAACTGATGTGCCTTAGGAGACCCTCAGATTGGTGTGGTAGTCACATATTTCTTCTGACGTTTCTGTTGCTAGGTGTTGACATAGATTTAGAGATAGGTGTTGTCACCCTCAATGTGGGTGGCTTGAGTACTTACATATATATTGTCTCATTCTCTGAATTCAGCATGGCAGGTTATTATAATCCTCGTTTTCATAAGCAAGGCTTTGGCGATGAATATACCTGCCAAGTGTGGGTCTTCTCCTGCACCCCACAGCCTCGGAGGGGCTTTAAGGGAACATTAAGTGTAAAGCGTGTAATTGCAGAGGAGGTGGACACAGGGCTCCTGCGGAGGAGGTGGACACAGGGCTCCTGGCTCCCAGTTCAGAGCATCACAGCACCTCTCTCTGAGACCAGAGATACAGGTTAGTTTTCCTGACCTCCAGCTGACGTTAGAAAAGTTATTTTTGATACATATATCCAATAAGTCCAAGGGGTGGGGAATCCAATAAAAGTGTTAATAAAAATCCAATAAAAGTACCAGCTCTCCCGCCAGCCAAACTATGGCTGGTAACGCCATTCCAGTTATATAGGTTACTTATCTTAGTGCACAGAGGCCAGATCACCAGTCTAAGCGCCCCTCCCCCGGTACCGAACCTCAGTTCCTCCCAGGGTGGCTTCATGCCAGAACATATTGGAATATACCGGGACTCCCTTGAAGCAGAACACAGTGTTCCAACACTCCCATTAGCACTTTCTGTTACTCCTGTGTCTTTGTTAGATTTCTGCAAACACTTAATCTTCGCAACAAGCATTTTGGATTCAGACGTATTTTCTGAGATAAATACATAAATAAAAATCTATCCTGTTCATATTACCTTTTCCAAAGCAGTTCCCTTTGGGACTGAACATTTTTGATGTTCTGTCATCAGTCTGTTGTGAGCTACCAGGGAGGTCTCCCTGTGGGAGCAGTTCTGTAGTATATTCCTAGGGATTAGAGTGTAGGCTCCTGGACCTCCCAGCCGAATTCTTCTCCCTGCTCCTCATCCTTCTTGACCCACTCAGTATTCACAGAACGTGTGCTGCCTCAGTCCATTTGGGCTGGTATAACAAAATACCATAACTGGGCCGCTTATAAGCAGAAGTCTCTCTCACTCACAGATCTGGAGGCTGGAAGTCTAAGATCGAGGTGCCAGCAGATTTGGTGTCTGGTGAGGGCCGCTTCCTGGTTCATAGACGGCACCTTCTCTTTGTGTCCTCACATGGTGGCAGGAGTAAGGGAGCTCTCTGAGACCTCTCTTATAAGGGCACTAATCCCATTTGTGGGGACTCCACCCTTGTGACCTTATCACTTCCTAGAACCGCATTTTTTTTTTTTCTTTTGAGACACAATCTCTCTCCATTGTCCAGGCTGGAGTGCAGTGGCACAATCTTGGCTCACAGCAACCTCCACCTCCCGGGTTCAAGTGATTCTTGGGCCTCAGCCTCCTGAGTAGCTGGGGTTACAGGTGCCCGCCACCACACCTGGCTAATTTTTATATTTTTAGTAGAGATGGGGTTTCACTATGTTGCCAGGCTGGTCTTGAACTCTAGACCTCAAGTGATCCACCCACCTTGGCCTCTCAAAGTGCTGGGATTACAGGCATGAGCCACTGTGCCTGGCCCAGAGCCCCACCACTTCATACCGTCACCTTGCGGGTGAGGATTTCAGTGTGTGAATTTCAGGGACATGAACGTTGAGTACATGGCACAGACTATATGTCTGGCCCCACGCTATCTACATACAGAGTTACAGCAGTGAACCAGGTGGGCTAGCTGCTTACCTTGGGGCATGCTTACTGTCTTTTCGACTCTCAGGCATGTGATGAGACATCTCCATCTCATTGATGGTCATTATCAATGCACCGTTGTTACAGTGAGGTGGCTGCAGAAGGCTTCGATAAAGCCATTCTTACATACTTCACAAAAAACGTTCCAGGGTTCACCCTGCATGTGTAGGTACCTCTTCTATACAAATCTGCCAGCCTCTGTTTGTAGCTGTTTCCAAAAGCCAAATGTAGAAGGCCATCATAGATTTGGGTGGGCATCAGACCCTTCAACTGAGCCTGATTTTCTCACTGGTTATGTGCCTTTTCGTTGACTTTCAGAAGCCTTCGGTACCTGACACACCATTCAGCTAAGCAGGCCTGCAGCTGGCCTGAGGTCCTGGGTCTCAGATATGAGTGGTTTGATGTTGATCTTGCTCCTTTGTGATTTTTTGTTTTGTTTGTTTTGTTTTGTTTTGTTTTTTTCCTTCATGATTTTATCCATGAAAGCTTTTCTTCTCCAGGCCATTGTGGCAGTAGATGTTCACCTCCTATTTAAGTGAGATATTCACTCTTGGTAACTTTCTTTAGTGAGTGTCTCCAGTTATTTATTTTATTTTTTTCCTTTTTTCCTTACCCTTCATCAGGACACATAGTGTCTCCAGTTCTAATTGTAGATACTGTACTGACCAGCTCTGAAGCAATTGGGACTGTTTGAGGAGAGAGAAAAGCAGGCATGAGTCCACTCTGTTGGATCTATAGGGCCTGTGGATTTGCTGCCCGGAGTCCTGCAGCTGCTCCTGCTGTTGAGCATTGTGTGGGGCACCTCACCCAGGATTTTCGGGTGTTCTGGAAGCCATGTTGCCGCTCTACCTGTCTCTTTTGCAGATATGCCCAGAGGTCCCCATTCAGGCAAAATAGTCCTTGCGTTATATTTGTAATATGAAGGGTTTTGAACACAGGAAATAAAATTTCATCTTATTTTTTAAAAAGAGAACAACAAGACTTTGTTTTCTTTCCAATGTAGAAAACTTCAAATTTAGTTTTTAATGTAGAGAAACTTCACATTCATATTTTGTTTCTGTGTGAATAAGATGATTTGCTGTTGTTTTCCTCTAAATAAACTGGTCAGCAACATTACAGAACCAGCACAAACCAGCACAAAACCATCAAAGTGGAGGGGGTGTTTGCTTTTCTGTTCATAATAAGCGAGACATGTTACTGGTTAGTTTAGAAGGTATTTCCAGTAATACAGAATTGGCTGTATTTGGGCTGCTAATACACTTCCTGCTTTGCCATTAGGTGGCATCTTTATAATTTGAAGGATATTTCAATGTCTTAGGCAGGCTACTCACATAAGCCTTGTTAAATAGAGGAAACAGGTAAGTTTGTATGCATGCAGTTGGATAATTTGACAGACAGTTTTGAGCATATTTTCTCATCTGTTCCTGATGACACTTATCAGACTTAGATGAGATTGGGCGCGTTCAGGGTGGTATGGCCGTAGACCTATCAGACTTAGAGACCTGAGGTGCCCTGAAGCCATAGAGCAACCAAGTGGCCAGCTGAGGGTGCCAGCCCAGCCCTCCCGCCAGGCCCTCGCCGGCTCACCACGCTGCGCTGTGCTGCTTCGTGAGAGTGAGCGCATCTGTGATTGCTGAGGCCTGGCGCTCATGGGGTTGCACCCAGCTTCTGAGTTCAGGTAGTTAGACGATTTCCAGCGTCCTTTCAGAGGGGCTCTCAGAACTGCTTTTGTTTGTAGAATTGATTTTGGAAAAGTCTTAAAATATTCATGAAGTTTTTTTTTAAAAAAGCTGGTATTAAACCTTGAAAAAGTTAACTGAAATTTGGAAGGGTGATTTCTGAATTAGCTAGGGAGGAATAATGAAAAAATATTGTAAACTATATCAGCTAAATCACTGGGGTCTTGGCTTTATGTATTTTCAAGCTTAAAGGAAATGTCAAGCTGGGCACAGTGGCTCACATCTGTAATCCCAGCACTTTGGGAGGCCGAGGTGGACGGATCACTTGAGGCCAGGAGTTCGAGACCAGCCTGGCCAACATAGTAAAACCCCGTCTCTACTAAAGATACAAAAGTTAGCTGGGTGTGGTGGAGGGGGCCTGTAGTCCCAGCTACTTGGGAGGCCAAGGCAAGAAAATCACTTGAACCCAAGAGGTGAATGTTGCAGTGAGCCAAGATTGTGTCACTGTGCTCCAGCCTAAGCAACAGAGGGAGACTCTGTCTCAAAAAAAGAAAAAAGAAAAAAAAAGAAATGTTGAGTGAGATTCTGGCATTTGATACCATAGTTTAGTGGTGGAGTATTCTTTATTTTCTTTTTGAGATGGAGTTTCACTCTTGTTGCCCAGGCTGGAGTGCAATGGTGCGACCTCGGCTCACTGCAACCTCTGCCTCCCACGTTCAAGCGATACTCCTGCCTCAGCCTCCGGGGCATATGCCACCATGCCCAGCTAATTTTTTCTATTTTTAATAGAGACGGGGTTTCACTATGTTGGCCAGGCTGGTCTTGAACTCCTGACCTCAGGTGATCCACCCGCCTCGGCCTCCCAAAGTGCTGGGATTACAGGTGTGAGACACTGCGCCCGACCTACTGGAGTGTTTTTTAGGATCTGTGAAAATATGATACTGGTAGAACCTGATTTTATTCTCTTTTGACCATCTCCTATAAAGGCTAACTTTAATTCTTTTTTTTCTTTTTCTTTTTTTTTTTTTTTTGAGATGGAGTTGTACTCTCGTCCAGGCTGGAGTGCAATGGCACAATCTTGGGTCACTACAACCTCCGCCTCCCGGGTTCAAGTGATTCTTGGGCCTCAGCCTCCTGAGTAGCTGGGGTTACAGGTGCCCACCACCACACCTGGCTGATTTTTATATTTTTAGTAGAGATGGGGTTTCACCATGTTGCCAGGCTGGTCTTGAGCTCTAGACCTCAAGTGATCCACCCATCTTGGCCTCTCAAAGTGCTGGGATTACAGGCGTGAGCCACTGCACCTGACCTAATTCTTATTTTTTAAGAAGTGTATCTTTACATTTTAGTGTTTCATGCCATAAGGAGGTAGCTAGATCTTACATGCAGTAACAGATGCAGAAGCATGGAGAGTCTTGGTTACACATGGATAAGAATTACCTGAAAGAAGATGAGTAATACAAAACCAAGTATTTCAGTACCGTTGAAACAAAATTCTAGGCGCAATTGTTGCTGTAGTGTTTTGCTAAGGGAAGATATGAAGTTTTCTCCTCTAAAGGTCCTGAAAAGGAATTGGCTTCTCTTCCATTTGGGGGCTGGGGGAGTCGCTCCTGTCCTTTCAAGTCAGTTCTCAATACCAAGGGGCTCGGGGGGCTGAGACATGTGTGCCCTTTGGTCCTTCTTTCAAGGAAACTGCAGCCTGTTTTATTATCATGATGTTTTGCTTCTAGTTATGTGCTTTTCATGTTATGTGCTTTTTACTACAATTAAAAAAAATTTAACCATTTAACAAAAAAGAAAGTTATAAAAGTTTTTTGTTATTTAAAAAAATATATAGCCGATTCTTAAATACTTTTGATTATAATAGAAATATAAATGGCCTGGAGAAAGTTAAGGAACAGATGCCAAACCTCAGTATATCCACTAGTGACAACTTCTTTTTTTGCTGTGTCGCCCAGATTGGAGTGCAGTGGTGCGATCTCAGCTCACTGCAACCTCCACCTCTTGGGTTCAAGCGATTGTCTTGCCTCGGTCTCCTAAGTAGCTGGGATTGCAGGTCTGCACCACCACGCCCAGCTAATTTTTGTATTTTTAGTAGACTTACTAAAAATGTCTTGCCCCCTCCTCCACCTCCCAAAGTTCTGGGATTACAGACGTGAGCCAGCGCGCCCAGCCACAACGTTTTCTTAAATGAGCATTTCATGACCAAGTCTTCTAGAAAGTATAAGTAGAAAAAAAAACTTAAGATCTTAAAATGTCACTTAGGATTCTTCAATTCTAAGGAAGAAAAATGCGAAGAAATTGAAAGGACAAAGTTGGGGGGCAAGGGGAGGGGGGAACGGTTGGCTGGGGTGTTGACAAAATCGTGTCACTATGCAGAAACTTGAGTATAATGTGCTGGCTAGCTTGTAGAATCGGTGATAACTAATGAATATCCCCTTTCTTCTACCTGCTGGTATGAAACAGTGAGACGGTTTAAGCGGAAGCATCTTACTGCCATTGACTGCCAGCATTTGGCTCGGAGTCACTTGGCTGTGACCCAGCCCTTCGGTCAAAGATGGACAAACAGAGATCCGAACCATGGTCTCTATCCTAAACCGAGAACAAAAAGAGGGAGTAGGGGTATGTCTCCTCTAAAACTCTTGCATTTCAAAACCTGTAGTGTGTGGGTCCTTTGACTATCTCCTAGTTTAAAAGTATTTGTAAATGTTGCTGCTGTGAGTTTGTAGTCTTCATGCAATAGCTTGACACTTTTTTTATTGTGAGTTTTCCATGAAGTTTTTTTTTTTTTTTTGAGACGGAGTTTCAATCTTGTTGCCCTGGCTGGAGTGCAATGGCGCAATCTCGGCTCACTGCAACCTCTGCCTTTTGGGTTCAAGTGATTCTCCTGCCTCCGCCTCCTGAGTAGCTGGGATTGCAGGTGCGTGCCACCACCCCCAGCTAATTTTGTTTTTTAGTAGAGACGGGGTTTCTCCATGTTGGTCAGGCTGGTCTCGAACTCCTGACGTCAGGTGATCCACCCGCCTCGGCCTCCCAAACTGCTGGGATTACAGGTGTGAGCCACCGCGCCCCGCCGAGTTTTCCATGAAAATTCTATCCTATTATCATAGTTTGTAAAAGCTGTGGACAAGTGTGATGGAATGAATCCTATTAGCTTGTGTAATTATAAAGTGATAGAAGACATGAGCCAGTGTCACTCTTATTCCAATCCAGAAACACTGAGATTAGTTGACTCTTCATTCATCTTCTCTGTCCAATCTGTCACTAGGTCCATGTGTCATTGTTTTTCCTCCAAAATATTCCTTCATCCTGAGCTCTTTGTCACCTAGGACCTGGACTACTACAGTAACCTTGCTCCTTGACTTCAGATTTTATCTCTGCTAAATCAACTGGAATGTCCCCACTATGTACCAAATGAATTCCCACTTTAGTTAATAAATCTAGATTGCCTTATTTCCCTTTGATACAACTAATTTCAGAATTCAACTCAAATATTATCTGGTTGTCTTTTTTTTTTTTGAGGCAGGGTCTTGCTCTGTCATCCAGGAGTGCAGTGGCACCATTTCAGCTCACTGCAGCTCTGCCTCCCAGCTCAGCCTCCCAAGTAGCTGGGACTTACAGGCGCGCGCCACCATGCCTAGCTAATTTTTGTATTTTTTTGTAGAGACAGGGTTTTGCTACGTTGCCCAGGCTGGTCTCAAACTCCTGGGCTCAAGAGACCCACCTGCTTCCGCCTCTCAAACTGCCAGGATTACAGGTGCGAGCCACCTCTCCCAGCCTGGTTGTCTTTAACTATTGTATGTTTCCTGCTGTGGGAACTACTATAACCAACTGTATGAGGCAGTTTGAAACTTACTTATATCCTGTCTGATACTGAGTTTGTTCCATATATAGAAGTCTGTTTCTTCTCTATTTTGAGTTTTTTACTGACAAGGACTTGTGAGGTGGCCCTGACCACGTGGTGACATCTCAGTGACTGTGGGTGTGACTGGATTCAACAGTTGGAAGATACCAGGATTTGGCTGGGAGCAGTAGCTCATGCCTTATTTGTAATCCCAGCAGTTTGGGAGGTTGAAGTGGGAGAATTGCTTGAGCCCAGAAGTGCCAGCCCAGCCTGGGCAACATAATGAGACCCCGTCTCTATTTTAAAATAATAATAATATTTTTTAAAAAAGAAAATGCTAGGATTTAACCCTGATCATATGGATTTAACCTGTAGTAATAGTGAAGTCAAAACTCTGGGTTTCTATCAGATTGCCCAAGAAACAGTTAACCGTTATAATTTTTTTTTTAAATTTTACTAATATAGAAAAATATCTGTTTCAGTTTCATAAATTTTGTTAAAGGCTAAACCGAGTTTCAGTCCATTCTCTTCCAAAGTGAATATTTTGGATACAGCCATTTAGAAAGGAACTATGTATTATTGATAAAGTGTTTACTTCTTTGGCATTTAAAAATAATTTTTAGGAGTTTGAAAATGTTCCCTATGTTCCTGAAAAGTCTGTGAGGTTTTTCACTTTACATTTGTCTCAGAATCATTGGTGCTTAGTAAATGTTCACTGAACAAACATGTAGAAGAGATTAGGTACCACTCTAACACTATAAAGAGAATTCTGAGTCCCGACTTTTTATTTTAAAAATAAATTAATGTGTCACCTTCACAGGAAGAAATACAAATAAAAGCTGGGCGCAGGGGCTCACGCCTGTAATGCCAGCACTTTGCGGGAGGCCGAGGTGAGTGGATTACTTGAGGTCAGGAGTTCTAGGCCAGCCTGGCCAACACGGCGAAACCCCATCTCTACTAAAATACAAAAATGAGCTAGGCATGGTGGCATACGCCTGTAGTCCCAGCTACTTGGGAGGCTGAGGCAGGAGAATCACTTGAACCTGGGAGGTGGTGGTTGCAGTGAGCCAAGATCACACCACTGCACTCCAGCCTGGGCGACAGAGTGGGATTCCATCTAAAAAATAAATAAATACATAAATAAAAAAGAAATAAAAATAAAAGTTTTAGCACTGTCAAATGAGAAGAGTGAGATTTTCCGAATCCTGATGACCCCAAGCATGTGAATTTCTGCTTAAGCACATGTAGACTTGCTGTTGTAGAGTTAGTGGGAGCGGGGCACTTTGTGAGTGGCGGTGTGGTTGTGAGCAGTCACCTCCTTTTTGTCTGTCCATTCAGATGTTCCCTGTGCAGCGTGTTTCTCTGTACTTGTTTTTACTGCAGGGAGTATTGCTGGCCATCACATCATGTGAAGACTGGTCTCTGTCTCTTTGCAAATGTGTGTCTGGTAATATGATAGAGCCAAATATAAATATTGTTTGGATTAGTTATTTATATAATCAGTTGGCCCATAAATGTGTTTTTATCTCTTTCCACTATTAACATAGATAATTGAAAATTAGTGTGTCTTATATGGATTAACAGCAGGTCAACAGTCATCGTTCATTTCTTGTCCATCCTGTTTGGGTTCTCTCTACAGGTCAGGGAAGTCAAAGATGCATCCCTGAGTTCTTCCTAGCAGGCAAGCAGCCGTGCACCAATGACATGGCCAAAAGCAATTCTGTTGGCCAGGACAGCTGTCAGGACTCTGAGGGTGACATGATCTTTCCTGCAGAGAGCAGCTGTGCACTGCCTCAGGAAGGCAGTGCAGGGCCGGGCTCACCAGGGTCTGCCCCGCCCTCCAGGAAGCGGTCTTGGTCCTCTGAGGAAGAGAGTAACCAGGCTACCGGGACCAGCCGGTGGGATGGAGTTTCTAAGAAAGCTCCACGGCACCATTTGTCTGTGCCATGCACAAGGCCTAGGGAGGCCAGGCAAGAAGCAGAGGACAGTACGTCTCGGCTCTCTGCGGAGTCTGGTGAAACCGACCAAGATGCTGGGGACGTGGGTCCTGATCCCATTCCTGACTCATACTATGGGCTTCTTGGGACCTTGCCCTGCCAGGAAGCACTGAGCCACATTTGCAGCCTGCCTAGTGAGGTCCTGAGGCACGTGTTTGCCTTCCTCCCGGTGGAAGACCTCTATTGGAACCTGAGCTTGGTGTGCCACTTGTGGAGGGAGATCATCAGTGACCCGCTGGTGAGTGAGTGCTGGAGTCGGGAGATGTTTCCTCTAAAAGCACGTAACTTTGCTTAATGCACGCTTATAATCAGAGGATCTTTTCAGAAATGGTTTCCATTTGCCTTCAGAAGACATTCAGACTCCTTAGAGGCATTTAAGGCCTTCCGTGTCTGCCCCACCCTATGACTCTAGCCTCTTTGTTCACTTCCACTCAACACAGCTTCCCTGAGTTCTGTCTACAGCTCATCTGCTGTGCCCTGACCACAGACTGCACATTCCTTCCCCTCCCTGGGTTGCTCTCATCCTCCCACCTTCCCCACCTGGAGGGTTCCTCATATCTCCCTTGACTTCTTTTTTTTTTTTTTTGAGACAGAGTTTCCCACTGTTGCCCAGGCTGGAGTGCAGTGGCACGATCCTGACTCACTGCAACCTCTGCCTCCCAGGTTCAAGTGATTCTCCTGCCTCAGCCTCCCCAGTAGCTGGGATTACAGGCGTGCGCCACCACACCCGGCTAATTTTTGTATTTTCAGTAGACATGGGGTTTTACCATGTTGGCCAGGATGGTCTCTGAAACTCCTAACTTCAAGTGATCTGCCTGCCATCAGCCTCCCAAGTGCTGGGGTTACAGGCGTGAGCCACCATGTCTGGCCCATTTTTTGTTTGTTTGTTTGTTTGAGTGTAAGCATTTATAGCAATAAACCCCTCTCTTAAAACAGCCCAACAGCATTCATTGCATTTCATAAGTTTTGGTATGTTATGTTTTCATTTTCATTTGTCTCAAGATATTTTCTACTTTTCTTTGTGATTTCTTCTTTGACCCATTGGTTGTTTTAAGAATGTGTTTTTTGTTGTTGTTGGTTTTTTTTTTTTTTTTTTTGAGACAGAGTCTTGCTCTGTCACCCAGGCTGGAGTGCAGTGGCTCGACTTTGGCTCACTGCAACCTCCACCTCCCAAGTTCAAGTGATTCTTGTGCCTTAGCCTCCCAAGTAGCTGGGATTACAGACATGTGCCACCATGCCTGGCTAATTTTTGTATTTTTAGGAGAGATAGGGTTTCACCATGTAATCCAGGATGGTCTCAAAGTCCTGGCCTTAAGTGATCCGCCTGTCTCAGCTGCCCAAAGTGCAGGGATTACAGGCATAAACCACTGTGCCTGGGCAAGGGTATGTTGTTTAATATCCATATATTTGTGGATTTTTCAGTTTTCCTTCTGCTATTGATTTCTGGTTACATTCCATTGTGATTTAAAAAGATACTTCATATAATAACTTAAGTGGTTTTTAAGTTTGTTGAAACTTGTTTTGTGGCCTAACAGGTGATCTATCCTGGAGAATGTTTCATGTGCCCTTGAGAGGAATGTATATTTTGCTGTTGTTGGGTGGAGTATTCTGTATATGTTCGTTCAGCCCGCTTAGTCCATAGTGTTGTTCAGATCCTCTGTTTTCCTTATTTATCTTCTGTCTGGTTGTTCCATCCATCATTGAAATAGCAGTGTTGAAATCTCCTTCTATTATTGTGTTGCTGTTGGTTTCTACCTTCAGTTCTGTCAGGGGTTGTTTCCTATATTTAGGAGCTCTAATGTGTGGTGCATATATATTTATAGTTATTATATCTTCTTGGTGAATTGACCCTTTTATCATTATGTCCTTCGTCTCTTATAACAGTATTTAACAGACAGAATTGACTTAAAGTCTGTTTTGTCTGATATTAGTATAGCCACAGCTCTCATATTATTTTGTTCCCATTGAAACCCTGAGTTACGTGTACTAATGTTTCAGACAGGGAAACTGAAGCTATAGTTTTTCCCAGATTCTTTAACTATAACAAGTTAGTGTTAGAACCAAGACCAAGACCCAGTTCTCCTAGTTTCCAACAAAAATTTGTGTAACATTTCTGCCTGATTTTCCTGGCTTTTGAATTGTGAGCTGTGATTGCTTTTCACTGGTAAAAGGTTATCTATGTGTTTGTGGCTTAATCTGCTTTTTTTCTTTCTTTTTTTTTTTTTGAGATGGAGTCTCACTCTGTCACCCAGGCTAGCGTGCACTGCAGTGGCTTGATCTCGGCTCACTGCAACCTCCGCCTCCCAGGTTCAAGTGATTCTCCTGCCTCAGCTTCCTGAGTAGCTGGGACTACAGGCATGTGCCATCATGCCTGGCTAATTTTTGTATTTTTTTTCAGTAGAGACGGGGCTTCACCATGTTGGCCATGCTAGTCTCAAACTCCTGACCTCAGGCGATCTGCCCGCCTCATTAATCTGCTTTCTAATGGCCCTTTGCCTCATGTTATTTTGTTTGTTTTTTAACTGCATAGTTCATTCCTTGGAAGAAGCTGTACCATCGATACCTGATGAATGAAGAGCAAGCTGTCAGCAAAGTGGACGGCATCCTGTCTAACTGTGGCATAGAAAAGGAGTCAGACCTGTGTGTGCTGAACCTCATACGGTGAGCTTTGCCTGTGCTGTAAAGAAGGCGTCTTTGAAGTCTTCCTTGTACATCAGTGCTTATGGTCACCCTACTCATGGCCTCTCCTGTGAATGTCTTACAGATACACAGCCACCACTAAGTGCTCTCCGAGTGTGGATCCCGAGAGGGTGCTGTGGAGTCTGAGGGACCACCCCCTCCTCCCCGAGGCTGAGGCGTGTGTGCGGCAACACCTCCCCGACCTCTACGCTGCTGCCGGGGTAGGTCTGGAGGCTGCGGGAGAAGGCGGCATGTTATTTCACTGGAGGAAAGTGTACTGGTGATTCAGTTCAATTGAGGATGACTTTATATTTATTTTTAATGTCTGTATTTAATCTCTGAATGCTTTGAAGCATTCATGTTGTCATTGTCCCCAGTGGAGAAATAAAAGGCCATATAATTGTAGAGTCTTAGATGTAGATGAAATTTTAACAAATCATTTAGTCTGATTTCCCATTTGGTTGAGGAATCTTCTCTGAAATATTTCTGAAAAGTGGTCATCTAGCCTCTGAACACTTTTAATAATAGGATTTCTTTACAAGACAGCCCACCCCATTATCAACAAGTTTGCTTATTTGAAAGGGACAGAAAAATTAGGGGTCTTGCTATAGTCACACAATGAGGTAATGAGAAGCTGGAAATAACCCTCAGTCTCCTTGAATCTCAGCCCTGTTGCTCCTTTTCCAGTTCAGGGATTCCCAGATTTTATCTTCGAAGCTACGTGCAACCTCTGCGTGTGTTTTACTGGCCACAGAGGGCTGGGAACCCAGGCAACTGCATTTCTGTTTCTCTTGAAGAAGATGATTGCTGATGGTGGTGGAGTGGGTCTTCTTTCACAGGATGGTTGAAGTGAGAGGGGATGGGATGTTCCTTTCTTGGAATGCATTCTTTAACACAGAGACGTGTAGTAACTTAAGAATGGTAAAGGCTGGGCGTGGTGGCTCACGCCTGTTATCCCAGCACTTTGTGAGGCCAAGGCGGGTGGATCACCTGAGGTCAGGAGTTCGAGACCAGCCTGGCCAACATGGTGAAACCCTGTCTCTACCAAAAATACAAAAATTAGCCGAGCATGGTGGCATGTGCCTGTAGTACTGGCTACTCTGGAGGCTGAGACAAGCAAATTGCTTGAACCTGGCAAGCAGAGGTTGCGGTGAGCTGAGATCGCGCCACTGCACTCCAGCCTGTGTGACAGAGTCAGACTTTGTCTCAAAAAAAAAAAAAGATGAAGATCTGTGTCCACTATTGACTGTTTCTGTGTAAGCGAACATTTACAGAGACATTGCTAAGAGGAGCATGCTGTCTTCACAAAATAAACTTTCCATAATTTCATATTTATTTAACTTACAATGAACAGTTATTACTAATAATAAATAGCAAGTTAACACCGTCATGCTGGAGAACTGCCAGATTTTATTTTCCCCACAGCCTGCGTGCGGCCCTCTCCTGTGTCTGCGTCTCTCATGCCTCTTGGGTGGGCGCCCCTTGCTGGCTGTTTTGCTCTGGCCCTGCCAAGCACATATGGACCTGAGAGCCCCCATGGCCTGGAGAGTAGGGTGGGGAGATGACAGGGAGCTCATATTTTTAGACTGTCTCTCTGTCCAAGGTTCTATGTTAGATACTTCATCCGTGTTATTTAATTAAAGAAAACTAAGATCTCAAATCCAAAAGTGATGAGAAGGAGTCCAGGGCGAACAGAAGGGCTCCCCTGTTTCCCAAATACAACTTGGAAAGTTTGGATTCAGTCCAGACAGTCTGTAGCCAGCAGCTGGACCCGTGGCTCGGCTTTCCTGACTCCTTCCTGCTGTGATTCGTATTAACCATGGCCTGTGGGCTGTCCCTCCCTCCCTGTGCACCTGGCTTGCAGGGTGTCAACATCTGGGCCCTGGTGGCGGCTGTGGTGCTCCTCTCCAGCAGTGTGAATGACATCCAGCGACTGCTCTTCTGCCTCCGGAGACCCAGCTCCACGGTGACCATGCCAGATGTCACCGAGACCCTGTACTGCATAGCCGTGCTTCTCTACGCCATGAGGGAGAAGGGGATTAACATCAGCAATAGGTAATGCCCCGGGAGGAGGGGAGGGGATGCTGTGATAATGGGAGAGTCCCAGACACAGCAGCAGGTCCAGCCCTGCCACTTAGCAGTGTTAGCACCTGGCAGGCTGTGGGACCCACCTGCTCCACCTCAGTGTCATCTTCTGCAGGAGCCAGGGGCTGAGAGTTTGATGTGGAAAGGCTGGTAAGAGCGCCTTATGAACGTGCAGTTCTGAGCGGCTGCGAGATACCACTAAGGCTGATTTTACCATCATGGGTCCTGCAGCCTTAGGGGAAGCCCCTCGCCAAGAGAAGCCTTTCTTATTCACCCGTGGCCTCGCTTCCCTAGGAAAATGTTAGGCTCTACTTCCTCCATATCCCACTTGTGGGATGGAAAAGACTCATCCACCTTATCCTCCATGCGGGAGAGGCTATGGCGTGTCGGCTGCTGATTCACAGGGGCCCCGATGGTTTCCTCAGCAGGGTGGGGAGTGCCTGGGGGGTTGTGCATTTGACAAACACTGAACACCTGTGTGTGTCCGACAGTTGTCCACGAGCCGGTCCACTGTGACCGGCTTAGAGGAGTTAGAGGAGATTCCTGATCTAGTGAGGGAAGACAGGTCCTATGTAAGTAAATGTGTGAAATGGCATTTTAGTGAGTAATGAGCATTGCAGAGAAAATAGAACAGAGAGCTGTGGGGTGAATGCTGCTTTAGAGGGGTGGAAAAAGCTTCTCTGAGCAGGTAGTGTCTGAGTGAAACCTGAGTGTGGAGGAGGAACCGCCGTTTCACAACTGTGGGGAGAGCAGTTCAGAGAAGGTATAGATGCCTTAAGGGCCTGAAGATGGGAATGAATTTGGGACATGTGAGGAAGAGAAAAAGTGCAGTGTGGCAAGGGTGGGAGGGAACACAAGATTGTGAAGGATGGACAGGGACAGTTGAGGGATCTTACAGGCCCCGATTAGAAGGTAGAATAAGGCCAGGCTTGGTGGCTCACACCTGTAATCCAGCACTTTGGGAGGCGAGGCGGGCAGTTCGCTTGAGGCCAGGAGCTGGAGACCAGCCTGGCCAACAAGGGGAAACCCCATCTCTATTAAAAATACAAAAATTAGCCAGAAATTTCTGGTGGTGCGTGTCTCTAATCCCAGCTACTCGGGAAGCTGAGGCATGAAAATTACTTGAACCCAGGAGGCAGAGGCTGCAGTGAGCCGAGATATGCCACTGTACTCCAGCCTGGGCAACAGAGTGAGGCTCTGTCTAAAAAAAAAAAAAAAATGTAGAATAAAACTCAGGGTTTGCTGGGCAGCTGGGAAGGGCCTTGTCCCTGAGCTGGAGTGATGGGGACAGGTAGATCAACTGTGCAGCCATCCTGGAGAAGCAGAGACCGTGGGGGCTGGGGGCCGGGGGAGGGGGGTCCCTTCCCCAGGGAGACTGGCCCCTGGAAGTTGCAAGCCCTTAAAGGAAGGTGGCTAGTGGCACCAGGGGAGTGAGTGGTGGCCAGGCATCGGTGGCAAGGTACCAGGAGGGGACAGGATTCCCCAGAAATGTCCAAGAGTTTGCTGATGGCTGCCTTCTTGCCGCATCCCCACAGGGTGGAGAGAACACTGGCGTCTCCTCTTAGGAGGACCCCAATTCTTGTGTATCAGGGCCCTGCCCTTGTACTCTCACCTAACATTAACTACTTCCTTATTCCACACACCACATTGGGGTAGCGCTTCAACACAGGAATTTCAAGGGACACACTTCAGTCCATGGCAGTATGTATGTTGATTTTTGTTGCGTTTCTTTGTTTCTTCCTGTTTTTTCTGGGAGATAATATAATCACATCTGAAATGTTGGATTATTAAAGGTATTTGTTGCATTGGAGAGGTCGAGGCTTGGAGATGGGCTCTTTTCGCTCTGGGGATGGGGGGCAGTGCACTCGATTGTTGGGGGAGCGAGTCCAAGCTCACCCCCGGTCTCCCCCACAGTCCAGGGGAGACTTGGAGAGGCTTTGGAACGGCGTGTGCCAGCTGAGTCTGACGAGTCTGACGATGTCCTGTGCCTCTGCTGATTGAACTTTGTCATCTTTGGTCCCTCTTGGTGACTTGGAGCCTACTGTTTTCAGGTCCTTAGTAGTCAGATCTTGTTATCCATAGTGTAGTCCCTTTTCTTGGGACCTTAAAAGATAGAATGTGTTCATGCGTCTAAAGCAATGTCATGTCATAAGAGGTAGACAGTGGAGCGACCGAGGCTCAGAAAGAGGCTGGTGTTTTATCCACAGGTGTAGTAAGTATCATTCAAACAAGAGTCTCAGTGCTAGGAGCAGTGTTTCCCTTTGCCTTCCACTGGTCCTTACAGTTTTTCAGGTTGTTTGTCTCTTCAAGTCACAGCTGGCGCCCCTCATTCCCTGAAGAGCCCGTCCTGGTCTCTTCCTCCTCTTGGAGATATACATAGAAACTACACCTTTCCCAGGACTGTGTTATCTGAGAATGCTTTGCCAGCCATAGATATATTTAAATCCTTTTCTTTCTTTTTTCCATTAAATGGTGGTAGGTATTTTCTTTTTAGAAATGGGAAGGAGTTTAAATCCATCTGAGGAAAAATAAGATGCAGATTGTGACTTGAATTTGAGACTTTCTAAATCTACTTTTTTTTCTGGTAGGATTCACTACAACATTTTCTATTGCCTATATCTTCAGGAGAATTCCTGCACTCAGGCCACAAAAGTTAAAGAGGAGCCATCTGTCTGGCCAGGGTATGTGTATATGTGCGTCAGCGTGTGTTTTGTCTTCTGTCGACTCTTCCTCATACTTAAGGAGGGAGATGTTTTGCTTCACTTTAGCAACATCATTGAGGTTAATAATGTAAATTGTGTAAAACTCACCCATCCTAAGAGTGTGATTCAGTGACATTGCCTGAGCTGTGCATCAGCATCATAATCTAGCTTTAGAACATGTTTATTCTCGTAAGGGGAGGCCTTTTTTTTGGTCAGCTTTTGTTTATCCAGTTTGTATGTTTGGTTTTTGGACTGTCTATCCCCTGGACTTTTCACGTCTTTCTGTTTTTCTTACTTCTCTTTTGTAATGATTATAGCAAGAAAACCATCCAACTTACACATGAACAACAGCTGATTCTGAATCACAAGATGGAACCTCTCCAGGTGGTGAAAATTATGGCCTTTGCCGGTAAGGGAGCCCACATCAGGTTCACGAGGTGGTGGTTTTCTGCCTTTTCTCCCTACATCCCCTTCCCGCTACCTGCCAGGGCATCTTTGCTCTGATCTGTCATCCAACTAATAATTCAATAACAGATCAAATAATCAATCTCAAAAGCAATTGGCCAAGGAATACTTACTTCCCCGGACCACTCCATGAACATCCACAGAATTCCTGTTGAGACAGGTAGTTCACAGCAGTTAGTTGGTCGGGCAGATGCCCCCGGGATTGAGCCCAGCATTGTGATGTTTGCTCAGGCACTGATTGCTTCTGGAGAGGGAGGGCATGTTAATCCCCAGCCCAGGGTTTCAGGAGCTCCCCAGTTTTATAGGGTGATGTCTAGAGGGCCTGCCTTAGATTGGCTTTTAACTTACATTCATAAATATATTATCTACAAGTGTCCTGCCTCAGTCAGCCACGCCGATCCACTCACAGCCTCCTGAAGTACTTGGTTACTCTTTCATCACAGCCTTTGCTCGTGCTATTTGCTATTTTTTTTCTGCCTGTAATCCCTTCCTGCTCCTTTTGTGGCTAAATACCCTGCTAACAACAACAACAACATTTTGAATGCCTGCAGTGTGCTTGGCATTGTGCTGATCCTGATAGCATTCCGTAAGGTTGCTTAGTTATTCTTGTTTTATAGAGGAAGAAACTGAAGCACAGAGAGCCTTGCCCGGGGTTGAATAAGTGGATAGGTGGTGGAGGTGGAATTCAAAGCTGGACCTGTCTCTCTCCAGAGACATGCCTTCCCCCTCCCTAACCCTACCCTCCTATCCTGAGGGGTCCTTTTTGCCCTCGGGAACCCTACCTCTAATGGATACCCACTTATTTCTGAGAAGCAAACTGAAGCTCATGAGGTCAAGGGGTCCACCTGTCCTTTGCCCCTCGGCTGGAGCCTGCCCCAGCTGAGATCCCAGCCCACCTTCACCTGGCTTTGAATCTGCTGCTCTTTTGGTGGCACTACTTTTACCAGCACTGAAAAACTTGTTACTGTCCTGCTCTCAAGACAGAGGTGTGATAAGCCTGGACAAGGCCTGATTGGGGATCCCTGGGCATGTCTTGTCTGGTCAGAGGGTCACCTCCTTTCCTCCTGGCTTCCCCAGGCACTGGGAAGACCTCAACGCTGGTCAAGTATGCAGAGAAGTGGTCTCAGAGCAGGTTTCTGTATGTGACATTCAACAAGAGCATCGCAAAGCAGGCCGAACGCGTCTTCCCCAGCAACGTCATCTGCAAAACCTTCCACTCCATGGCCTACGGGCACATAGGGCGGAAGTGAGTACTGCTGTCACTAGTGGCACTGTTGCTGCTGGCACGGTCGCGTCTTACTGTTTTCCCGTGACGATCACATGTGAGCTTACACCACAGTGACCCCGAGGAGTGTAGTGCTGTTATCTCCACTTACAGGCAGGAAACAAATACATAGGTTTAGCCATTTGTACTTTTATCCTGTAGCAACATATTGTTTACATATAATGCCGTCTTGCCAAGAGGGGTGTTCTCATGGAAGTGAGGCACAGAAAGTCAAAATGACTTGCTTAAAGTTCAGAGTCTCACAAATCCTGATCAGTTGTAGGCTTTTCTTGGAAGGGAGTGAGGAAGACTCAGCCGAGGCACACTTGACCCAGGTCTCCTGGATGTAGAGGCATCAGGGAACTCCAAGGGTCCCTCCGGGGACCTTCTGGAGCCCAGCTTCATGGTGGAATAGCAGTGTCTGCCGAAAGCTGGTTCCTATTCTGGGTTGGTACATGTGAGTCCTGAAAGCCATTTCCAGTCAGACATGGACCATGCAGAACTTTTTCGCTTTAAAACATTAACACTCGCCTGTGTGTGGCACTTGAAGCTACCTCCTGGTGACATTAGAGAGAATGGAGGGGACGTTCAATAGCACCAAGCCAGGAGAGCCACGTGCTGTTCATTTGGGATGGGTATTGCAGGTACCAGTCAAAGAAGAAGTTGAATCTCTTCAAGTTAACACCCTTCATGGTCAACTCCGTCCTTGCTGAAGGGAAGGGTGGATTCATAAGAGCCAAGCTTGTGTGTAAGACTCTAGAAAACTTCTTTGCCTCGGCTGACGAAGAGCTGACCATTGATCACGTGCCTATTTGGTGTAAGAACAGCCAAGGACAGAGAGTCATGGTTGAGCAGAGTGAAAAACTGGTGAGTGTCTAAGTGTCTGAAGTGTTAGGGATCTGAGGATGGGGGAACAGGGGAAGTGTTAGGGATCTGAGGATGGGGAAACAGGGGAAGTGTTAGGGGTCTGAGGATGGGGAAACAGGGGAAGTGTTAGGGGTCTGAGGATGGGGAAACGGGAAGTGTTAGGGATCTGAGGATGGGGAAATGGGAAGTGTTAGGGGTCTGAGGATGGGGGATCAGGGGAAGTGTTAGGGATCTGAGGATGGGGGAACGGGAAGTGTTAGGGATCTGAGGATGGGCAAACAGGGAGTGTGGGACAGCATTATTTCTTCTTTCATTTCTTCAGACCTGGTCATAGGAGGTTGAAGGTGGGAGGGTGAGGCTGTAGGCCCATGGTGATGGCTGTGAATTGTTGGGTATTTTCTCCTGTGAAGGACACTGGTGACCATCTCACTTAAGCCTCGGAATAGTCCTCCCATTTAACAGAGAAGGCAGACATGGAACGACCCGCCTCAGTTTATAAGAGCTTGTCACTGGGGCTCCTGGACCTCAAAACTGATCTTAACTGAAGGCTGGAATCTCTCCTGATTTTCTTGGGTTATTGGTTCTATGGAATAGATTTTGCTAGTGGGAAAGTCTGTTTCTTTTTTTCATCAAGTCTTTTCAATCATGTGCCATTGTTTTTGTGAATTAAGCATCAGTCATAAATCTAGAAGAACAATTTGGCCTTTTCTGGTTCACCTAACTGTTATGATCTCTGTCCTGTCACGGGCATGGCACGGCCCGGCTGCTTCCTGTCTCAGCACTGGAGACCCTCTGGCGTGGAGAGGCTGTTGAGGAGACCCAGGAGGTTAGGGTGGTGTCTGCGGTCCCCCTTCTGTGAGGATGCCCTGGCTCCACTGCTGTATGGGAGTTGACAGTGTGACCGCAGGGTGCTGCCTTTGCCAGGGTCTCAAACTCTGGGTTACCATATGCTTTACTTCCTAGAATGGTGTCCTTGAAGCGAGCCGCCTCTGGGATAACATGCGGAAGCTGGGGGAGTGCACAGAAGAGGCGCACCAGATGACTCATGACGGTAGGCGGCTGCCGAATGGCGGGGACTGGCCAATGGGACTGCCTTCCTGGCGTTACAACTCCTGCGTCTCTCCTTATTTTAGGCTACTTGAAACTCTGGCAGCTGAGCAAGCCTTCGCTGGCCTCTTTTGACGCCATCTTTGTGGATGAGGCCCAGGACTGCACACCAGGTGATACACTGTTCAGGACATCAGTAGTGTCAAATACGTAGAAACAGCGCCATGATTATGTAAGAGGACACCTGTGTGAACTAAGTTGATTATTATTATTTGTGATAAAGAAGAGGATCTTCATACTTACCTTAGGATTTCAAGCTGCCCCTTCCCCTCACCCAAGCAGATTTCTCTGTCACCATAGGTTTTGCTTAGGTTGTTCTTAACATGTTGACCAAGTTGTAGACCAGCAGACGACAGGGACCTAGACTCATGCTCTGTGGGAAGAGATCGTCCATTGACAGGGAAAAGCTTGTGTTGTCTACTTCTCAAGTGGCTAGGAGAGAACAGACAGTGTTATCCGTCTGACTTTGTAGGTCAATTTTGAGTGCTATAATATTAGAGAAGACACTGCCTCATTTTAGATTTGCCTGTGTTGTTTTCTTATATTCCAACAATTCATCCAAGGCGAAACATAATCTGCATTCCTAGCACCAGAAACTGTTTCTTTTGTCCATTATAAAATGGCTGCTTTTGATGGAGTGTGCCTGTCCTACAGGAAAAGGCGACCGTGAGGTCCAGTGTGCCCTGGCTTAGCTTCGTGGAAGTGTTTTTGTCCTTTTCTTTTTGCTGCCTGGGGTGGAGGCCTCAAGGTTTCTCACTTTTCCTCTCGTTGGTTACAGCTATCATGAACATAGTTCTGTCTCAGCCATGTGGGAAAATCTTTGTAGGGGACCCGCACCAGCAGATCTATACCTTCCGGGGTGCGGTCAACGCCCTGTTCACAGTGCCCCACACCCACGTCTTCTATCTCACGCAGGTAAGTGCGCACTCTGCATGGGAGGCATTGCATCTCTCTCCCAATGTCTTACGTGCCAGGCCCTGTGAAAGGTGGTATGCCAGGCTCACCAGATCTAGCAAATCCTTGCTTCTAAGCCATGGTTCTCAAAGTGTGGTTCTCAGGGGTCTGCCAAGTCACACTGTTTTCATAAGAGGTGTGTGCACAGCGGTCGTCTGAGGAAGAGCTGCTGCGGCTGAACTGTGAACCGATGGCTGCTGCCGCCTTGTACATTTGTGCTTAGAACAGTTGTTAGACCAGCGCTGGTTGTTCAGACTTGTGTATTTGGCACTTTTTCAAAGACAAGTGAAACAAGCTGCGACTTCAGGGAAAATAACTGACAGTGTTTGTTGTCAAAAGTAACATCTTTGCTTTCAAGTGAAATTAAAATGTTGGCAAACTCTCCCATAATGAATGTGACAACTCACAGTGTCCTTGATTATGCGAAAAGTTTATTATGCGCTCCTTCCTTTCCAATCACATGTCTGTGTGAGGTTGAATTTTCTTCATGTGTGTCAGCCAAGACAGTATATCTCAGCAGGCAATGCAGATGTGAACACAGGAAGCCAGCAGTCTTCTGTTATGCCAGGCATT